>NC_000012.12:114732855-114884370 GCF_000001405.40 Homo sapiens | reverse complement strand
TACTATGTTCTGGGACCTTTACTTGGCATGTCACAGCTACCATTTGCTGAGAAGGGGACACACTTTGTGTCATCTGAGAGATAGGGGAGCACAGATGATGGTGTCACCAAGAAGATGGGGTGCTAATCTCACACAGCTCCCCCAAGGATCAGCTCTGTGAACCAGGCCAAGTTAAAGTTATATCCCTGGCCTCAGTTTCCCCATCTGTAAAGTAGAGCTAAAAGAGGCATGAACCAGGTGCAGTGGCTCATACCTGTAATCCCAGCACTTTGGGAGGCTGAGGCAGGAGGATCACTCGAGCCCAGGAGTTCAAGACCAGCCTGGGCAAAACAGTGAGACCCCATCTCTGCAAAGATTTTTTTTTAATAAATAATATTTTTTAAAAGGGGACATCTAGGTAGAACTGCAGCAAGGGTTAAATTTAAAATTTTTATAAAGCATCCTAACTAGTACCTGGTACCTAAAAAGGACTTGGTCAAGATTGGCCATCATTATAATACACAAACCTGGTAGAGTGAGCACTATTGTCATCCCCACTTTAAAGTCAAAGGAACTGAGCCCAAGAATGGTCCAGAGACTCATCCCAGGTCCCACATCCACCTGGGAAGACGCATGATTTTGAGTAGTAGATGTATGATTTTGACTTGAAGTCTATGATTCAACAGCCCCAGGTCTTGTCACTGCACTCCACCATTTCCCCAGAGGACCCCAGGGTCCTAGCAAAACTGATTCAACTCCAGGAACCTGGAATTAATGTCCCAGTAAGGTTGGTGCTGGGGATCTCACTCCAACCCCATACTGGTGGCTGGAGGTAAGCTGAGATGGGCCCTTTTTCAGAATGCCCAAGGTCTATCTGATGCCAAGACCAAACCAGCCCATACCCTCCATCAGAGGTGTTGAAGGATATTGCTGGCTCCAAAGCTTTTGACAGGTTAATGGAATTACAGAGAAGCCGAAGATGAAAGGAGGGAGAGAAATCTGGAATCTTGCTGCATTTTCCATTCACTGTCTTTCTGGCTAAGTTTGTGTAATATGGCTGTAAAAATCCACAAAGCAAAATCCAAAGTTAAAAAAAAAGTGCATGTAAATCGGCCAGGTGGATAATACTTGGCATGTTGTACATGTTTTCACACATGGTTGTATCAAAGGGGATAATTATAGCATATGGAAAATAGTACATATTGTTTCCATATGAGAGATAAAGAGAGAGTGTTATAAATGATTAAAAGGACTTAAGGGTGTAGAATGTTCTCTTAATGAGAGGAACTGTTTGTGTCCTAGAATTAGTACTTTTTAGCAAGAATCATAAAAGTCTTTCTAGTATTCCGATAGAAGGAAGGCTTCCAAACTTCTTTGTGAGTCTGATGAAACTTCTTCATTAAAAGTTAGATAGATTAGCCAAGCATGGTGAGGAATGCCTGTAGTCCTAGCTACTCAGGAGGCTGAGTTGGGAGGATTGCATGAGCCCAGGAGCTTGAGGCTGCAGTGAGTCATGATCACACCACTGCACTGAAGCCTGGGTGATAAAGCAAGACTCTGTTTCAATGAGAAAGAGAGAGAGAGAGAGAGAGAGAGAGAGAGAGAGAGAGAGAGATTAGATAGAATCACTTCATTGTTAAGGAATTATGGGGACAGGTCTTTTTGCATCTCACTTCTTCACCAACGAGCCTCACAGCCAAACAGCTGGTGGGGTTAAGAAAGCCTGGAGCCCCAACAACAAAAAGACAAACAACCCAATTAACAAATGAGCAAGGAACTCGAGTAGGACATTTTTCCAAATAAGATATACAAATAGCCAATAAGTACATGAAAAGATGCTCAACATTATTTAGTCATTAGGAAAATAAGACTCTGCTACACACCCACTAAGGTGGTTATAATCAAGAAAGTGAAAAATAACTAGTGTTGGCTAAAAACAAACAAAAAAAAAACAAGTGTTGGTGAGGATGTGGAGAAATTGGAACATTTACACGTTGCCAGTGGGAATGTAAAGTGCCTGTAATGTAAAATGGAATGCTGTCCCTGTGGCAAACAATCTGGAAGTTCCTCAAAAAGTTAAACATAGAGTTATCATACAACCCAGCAATTCAGCTCCTCAGTGTATACCCAAAAGAACTGAAAACAGGTACTCAAAAAAAATTTGTACACTAATAATCGAAGTAGCAAAATCCACAATAGCTAAAAGAAAGGAAACATGGCCAGGTGTGGTGGCTCACACCTGTATTCCCAACACTTTGGGAGACTGAGGTGGGAGGATCGCTTGAGCCCAGGAGTTCGAGACCAGCCTGAGCGACAGAATGAGACCCTGTCTCTACAAAAACTAAAAAATTAGCTGGGTACAGTGGCACACGTCTGTGGTCCCAACTACTTGGGAGACTGAGGTGGGAGGCTTGCACGAGCCCGGAAGGTAGAGGGTAAAGTGAGCCGTGATGTCACCACTGCACTCCAAGCCTGGGTGACAGAGTGAGACTCTATCTCAAAAAATAAAATAATAAAATAAAATAAAATAAAATAACAAAATAACCCAAGTGTACAACAGATAAATAGACAAACAAATACGGCATATCCATAGAATGGAATATTAGCCATAAATTAGTGATACATACTATGAGCCTCAAAAACATTATACTAAGTGAAAGAAGCCAGACTCAAAATATTACATATTGTACAACTCCATCTATCCGAAATATCCAGATTAGGTGAACCCAGAGGCAGAGCAGACTAATGGTTGCCTCTGGGGTGAAAGGGAGGAAGGAATGGGGAGAAACTGCTTACTGAGACAGGGTTTCCCTTTGTAGTGATGAAAATATCATTGAACGAGATATAAGCGATGGCTGCACAACACGTGATTGTATTAAGCGCCACTAAATCGTTCGCTTTAAAATGGTTAATTTTGACCGGTGCGGTTGCTCATGCCTGTAATTCCAGCACTTTGGGAGGCTGGCCAGTCACCTGAGGTCAGGAATTCGAGATCAGCCTGGCTAACGTGGTGAAACCCCGTCTCTACCAAAAACACAAAAATTAGCTGGGCATGGTGGCCGGCACATGTAGTCCCAGCTACTCAAGAGGCTGAGGCAGGAGAATCGCTTCAACCCGGGAGGCAGAGGTTGTGGTGAGCTGAGATCGCGCCACTGTACTCCAGCCTGGGCGACAGAGCGAGACTCTCTGTCAGAAATAAATAAATAAATAAATAAATAAATAAGTAGTTAATTTTATGTTGTGTGAATTTCACCTCGATAAAAATAAATAAATAAAGGCTCGAGCTCACTTTCCTCCCCTCTACCTGCCAGAACCAAGAACCTTGGCATTCAGCTCAGCACCAATAGCTGTAGTTTCCCTAGCGTTGGCCTCCCAGGGACTGTAATTCCTTTCCTGGGATGAAGCTGGATGGGCCCCAATGGTGAATATCTGCTTGCTTCTTTGAAGCATTTTAATGAGATGCAGCTGCATGAGACCTGGATTTTCACAACCTTTTTTCCTTAAATCTTTACCTTTGTTATTCCCTGGGAAAATAATCCTGACAGATCTAGAAGGAGCTGGCCATTCAGATCTTTGTCATTCTCAGTATCTGGGCAACCTGGCTTGAATGACAAGGAAATCAGCATCCATGAAGAATAGTGTGTCTTTGTAACTTGGAGGTGACCTGCCTTGATGCTGATAATAATATAGACTCAAATCTTTCTTTGCCTCCTACTCACTGTGAGCCCCGGAGCAAGTCACTACCTTTCTTCATCTGTAAGATGGGAACAAGTATTATTCTTCAAGACGCTGTGAAATTAACAGCTTTTGGCATATAAAAATTGTTTAAATAGGCCGGGCACAGTGGCTCAAGCCTGTAATTCCAACACTTTGGGAGGCTGAAGTGGGAGGTTCGCTTGAGTCCAGTGTGAGATCAGCGTGGGCAACACAGTAAGACCTTATCTCTACAAAAAAAATGTATAAAATTAGCCAGGCATGGTGGTGCACACCTGTAGTCCCATCTGCTTGGGAGGCTGAGGTGGGAGAATCACTTGAGCCCAGGAGTTTGAACTATGATCGCAACATGGCACTCCAGCCTGGGTGACAGAGTGAGACCTTGTCTCTTTGGAAAAAAAAAAAAAAGTCCAAATAATACCATTTACGTTTATTTCTCACTATCCAGACCTGGTCTAAGAATTTTAAAACAGGGATAATGGGCCAGGCCCAGTGGTTCACCCCTATAATCCCAACTCTTTGGGAGGCCGAGGCAGGCAGATCACGAGGTCAGGAGTTCAAGACCTGGAAAACATAGTGAAACCCCATCTCTACTAAAAATACAAAAATTAGCGGGGCATGGTGGTGCATGCCTGTAATCCCAGCTACTCAGGAGGCTGAGGCAGGAGAATCGCTTGAACCCGGGAGGCGGAGGTTGCAGTGAGCCGAGATCATGCCATTGCACTCCAGCCTGGGCGACAGAGCCAGTCTCCGTCTCAAAAAATAAATAAAATAAAATAATAAAATGAAATTAAATGGGGATAATGATGCCCAAGAGGCAACAAGACAGATGCAGAAAGCGCACACGAGGGATGGTATTAGCTTACTGATGCTCCACCATCCTTGTGAATTTGGAAATAGATAGACTCTCCCCTATACTACATGCCTAGGAAAACTGCAGCCCAGGGAGGTTAAATAACTTGACAAACGTCACACAACAAATCAGCAACTGAACAAAAATTAGATCTCTGGTGTCTGTGACTCCTAAGCTGCTCCCTGTGCTTTGGGGTAGAATCTATGAAGATTTAGAAGCATCCCTCCAACTGGGTAGGTGCTGACTCCAGCGTGACCCTGGGTACTGCGTGCTCAGTGAGTGATATGGGCCTACTAGGGTCATGTGCTAGGTCAGAAACGGTACACTGGCAGAGTGAAGAGAGCCTTCCAGCTGAAGACCACCAACTCCCTGCATCTCTCTGGCAAGCAAGAAAAGGAGGGCTTAAAAAAAATCCTCTTTTTTAATATTTATTTCCCAGAATTTGTTCATTCAGCAAATATTTATTGATTTCTTGTTATGTGCCAGGTTCTGTTCCAGAAGCCAAGAACATGGGTCCCTGTGCACATAGAGCTGACATGCAAGTAGAGAAGATACAAATGTACAAGTTAGGGAAAAATCAAGAGAATTTCAGAGTCATAAGCAGTGTGAAGAAAATAAAATGAGGAAGTGTGATTAAAATGTGCAGGGAGCCATGCTAATTTCCATTAAATGGGAGTAGAGGTCTTCTCTAAGGGGATGTTGAGTTGAAACATGAATGATCAGAAAGGGCCAGCAAAGACCTGGGGTAAGAGTGTTCCCGGCAGAGGGAACAGCACATGCGGAAGCTATGAGGTAGAAACAAGTCCGACATGTTCAAAGAACAGAGAAGCTGTGTGGTTAGGGTGGAGTAGGCCAGGTGGATAGGAGACAAAGATAAGAGACAAAGATAGGAACGAGCAGCTCAGGGCCAAAGGATGTAGGGCCTCATGACTTTCAATTACACAAGAACCTTACCATGGACAACTTAGACAATGCAGATCAAGTAAAAAATTGAAGAGTGCATAGTCACCTGTAATCCCAACACCTGGAGAAGACTGCTCAATGATATTTGGGTGCATGTCCTTTCAAACATTTTTATTTCATATCCAATTATATAAATATATAAATATGCATTTACAAGAGTAGAATAATATAATACATCCATGAAACTGGCTTTTACATTTATTTTATTTTATTATATATTACTGAAAATATCATAAACATCTTTTTCAGTCAGTGAACTTAAATATACAGTGTCTGGGACACAGACACTCAACAAATTTGTAGAAGAAAGGAATGAAGGAAGAAAGGAAGGAAGAAGGAAAGGAGAGAGGAAACAGAAAGGAAATAAGGAAGGAAAGAAGGAGGGAAGAGAAGGAGGGTGGAGGGAAGAGAAGGAGGGATGGAAGGAGAGAAGGAGGGAGGGAGGAAGGAAGGAAGGAAGGGAGGGCGGGAGGGAAAGAGGGGGAGAGAAAGAGAAAGGAAGGACACAGGGAAGAAAGAAGGAAGAAAGAATGAGAGAGGGATGGAGGAAGAAAAGAAGAAAGGGATAAAGAAAGGAAGGAAGAAAGAAAGAAATTATTCTTAACTGCCACTTAGCTTTCTAGTGCCTGAACATAGCTTCGTTTCTTAACCAATCACCTATTGTTGACGTCAAGGTCATTTCCAGTTTTTCCTGCCATCAGCAACACCACAGTGATCATCTTTGCCTTCACATCTCCATGCTCTTCTCCAATTACATCCTCAGAATTAACGTCCTAAAATGGAATTTCTGGGGAAAATGGTTTGCACATTTTTAGGGAACTTGCCTCTCCAGAAAGATTTATCAATGTGGCCTCACATCAATAAAGTTCAAGGGTGCTGGGTTGCCCTCACTGACATAAGTAAAATGTTTTCTTAAAAGACAGAGAGGGCTGGGCACGGTGGCTCATGCCTGTAATTCCAACACTTTGGGAGGCCGAGTTGGGTGGATCACTTGAGGCCAGGAGTTCAAGACAAGCCTGGCCAACACGGTGAAACCCCATCACTACTAAACATAGAAAACATTAGCTGGGTGTGGTGGCACATGGCTGTAATCCCAGCTACTCAGGAGGCTGAGCCATGAGAATAGCTTGAACCCAGGAGGCAGAGGTTGCAGTGAGCTGAGGTTGCACCATTGCACTCCAGCCTGGGTGACAGAGCAAGACTCTAGCTCAAAAATAAATAAATAAATAAATAAATAAATAAAATAAAAGACAAGGAGAGCAAAACATAAAAGCAGAGACATCCAGGATCGGTTTCCTGAGCATCGCTGCATTTCTGTTCATAAAACATCACCTTACTTCATCGCATCACATGAGCATCTTTTTCTGCCTAGAAGTTGAGAAACTTCCTCTGCCGTCCCTCCCTGCTTCTTGGGACATTTCTAAAGTGAACCATCTTAGACTTCGAGAAATGAGACCAGCTGACGGGGAAACAATCTTTTCCACTTCTAGTGTTGGTGTTACTGAAAGAACTGCCCCAGATGAGATGCTCCCCTTTCTTTCTGCAAAATTAAGAGGTGCAAAAAGATTCCTGGTGCTGACTGCCAACCCCTTTCATAAGCCACTGGTTTTAATATTGGTTTGGCAGCTCTGATAACGATTTCTTTTTTTAAAGCACAGGGTTGCCAGGCCAACTTCAGAATGTGGCCATGAACCCAGCTATGAACCCGGCCATGAACCTGGCTTGAGCTATGACTGTTTACAGCACTTCACGCGTCCCTGCCATCTTTTAACCAAGGCCCCTTTCCACGGTTATTCCTTTTGTCTTTCTCCTTCAAGAAAAAGCTCGAAGTTTTCAAATTATAGAAGGAAGAACAAGCGAAGATGAGACAGGCCCCATCTACAAATCCATGGGGTTTCATGATACTAATAACGGTGCAGCTCAGTTGTTGACGTACTCTCACATCTTTCCACGTAGGAGAAATACTACTGTTCCCAGTTTGAAGATGAGGAAACTGAGGCCTGGAGTGGAGTGTAAGCTTTGCCCTCTCGTCACACTGTGGTCAGCAGCAGCATTGGAACTGGAGTCAGGATTTCTGGTGTCTGCTCAGTGTTCTGTGAATGTGTCTTCTCTCCTATAAGCCTGTGTTTCAAACATCTCCCTAATCATGCTCCTTTCTTTTCAGCACCAGGGAGTTGGGAATGCAGAGAGCTGATACATGAAAAACTACACTTGCTGGTCGGGCGCGGTGGCTCACGCCTGTAATCCCAGCATTTTGGGAGGCCGAGGTGGGCGGATCACCTGAGGTCAGGAGTTCAAGACCAGCCTCGCCAACATCATGAAACCCCATCTCTATTAAAAATACAAAAATTAGCTGGGCATGGTGGCACACACCTGTAATCCCAGCTACTCGGGAGGCTGAAGCAGGAGAACCACTTGAACCCAGGAGGCAAAGGTTGCAGTGAGCCGAGATCGTGCCACTGCACTCCAGCCTGGGCAACAGAGCAAGACTCCATCTCAAAAACACAAACAAATGAACAAAAAACTACACTTGCCAGGGACATGCTTAGAAAAGCCAAACGTGGGCAGACAAAATGGAAGGAAAACTCTCTCCTGCCATTTCACCAACCCAATGGGCTGTCCTGAGGCAAGGCTCTTCCTTCCCCTTTTGAAATGGGTGTTGAAGGTCCCGGCTCCATCTCTGCCTCAGGCCCAGCAGACAGGAGTGTGTGCTGGGTGGGATGTGCCCATTCCAGCTCCAGGAGGAGACACAAGCAGCACCCCAGGCTTCCCAGCCCAGCACTGCTCTGAGATTCCTGTTGAATCTGGAGACTGGGAGACCTCAGAGATTTGGCATAAAAGGGAAGCAAAGCTTGGAGAAGCATCCCAGTTTCTTTGGGGTTAGGATGGGTCTTTTAAGTCTTAAGTCTTCACCCGCGGGCCCATGAGATGCTTGGGAGAAACTGGGGTAGGAAGGACACAGTCTCAGGGACGTGAAATACACACAGCTGGGGCTGATGGAAATGCCTAAGCACTCGGACTAAATAAAAGCAACCTCCTCCTTCCTGCATTAGAAAAAGTAGAAGAGAAAATGAAAGGAAGGAGAAAAAAAAGAAAAGAGAAAAGGAAACGTCACACAAAAGGCTGCATCCTCAGGCAGGTTCATAAAAGGAGCCCTTCAAACCCTGAGGCCCATTCGTCTCAGTTATTTTTCTGAGGTTCTGTGGGCTGTGTTTCCGTTGGCTCAATCTGCCCATGCATTTACCTAATGTTTATTATCTATACCTGAAAGACCAGGCACAGCCGTCCCAGAACAGAACTTAGGCCTTTGTTACTCAATGCACCTGCAGCAAACTCTGGGCCCGGAAGAGGCCAGGCTGCCTGTTTATCCAACTCCTCCCTTCCCAGGCCCCAGCCCTTGCTTCCCCCTCCACACAGCCAGTCAACCATTAAAAAATTATGCACCCGGCCAGGAGTGGTGGCTCCTGCCTGTAATCCCAGCACTTTGGGAGACCAAGGTGGGATCATCGCTTGAGCCCGGGAATTTGCCTAGACCAGTCTAGGCAACATGGTGACACCCCTGTCTCTACAAAAAAGAAAAAAGAAATTAGCCAGGCATGGTGGCATATGCTTGTAGCCCTAGCCACTTGGGAGGCTGAGGCAGGAAGATCCTTTGAGCCCAGGAGTTCAAGGCAGCAGTGATTTATGATCACACCACCGCACTCCAGCCTGGGTGACAGAGTGAGACCCCATATCTCAAAAAAAAAAAAAAAAATGCACTTCAGGAAACAAGCAAAATGTCACCCATGGCTCACACAGTGAAGAACCCAGAGAGAAGAATCCAGATGAATCTCTCTTTACCTAGACCAAAGGAGGGCCTGGATGTGCAGTAAAATTTTTCAAAAAAAAAATGTCAGAAGCTTGGATGTATTCATCTTTCTTTCTTCTTTTTTTTGAGACGGAGTCTTCCTCTGTCACCCAGGCTGGAGTGCAGTGGCGCGATCTCGGCTCACTGCAAGCTCCGCCTCCCGGGTTCACGCCATTCTCCTGCCTCAACCTCCCAAGTAGCTGGGACTACAGGCGCCCGCCACCATGCACGGTGAATTTTTTGTATTTTTAGTAGAGACGGGGTTTCACCGTGTTAGCCAGGACGGTCTCGATCTCCTGAGTCCGTGATCTGCCCGCTTCGGCCTCCCAAAGTGCTGGGATCACAGGCGTAAGCCACCGCGCCTGGCTCCTCTCCTCTCCTCTCCTCTCCTCTCCTCTCCTCTCCTCTCCTCTCCTCTCCTCTCCTCTCCTCTCCTCTCCTCTCCTCTCCTCTCCTCTCCTCTCCTCTCCTCTCCTCTCCTC
Source organism: Homo sapiens (assembly GCF_000001405.40). Lineage (NCBI taxonomy): Eukaryota > Metazoa > Chordata > Mammalia > Primates > Hominidae > Homo > Homo sapiens. The sequence goes on along the minus strand of NC_000012.12, from coordinate 114,874,532 downwards.
TCCTCTCCTCTCCTCTCCTCTCCTCTCCTCTCCTCTCCTCTCCTCTCCTCTCCTCTCCTCTCCTCTCCTCTCCTCTCCTCTCCTCTCCTCTCCTCTCCTCTCCTCTCCTCTCCTCCCCTCTCCTCCCCTACCCTGTCCTCTCCTTTCCTGAGAAGGAGCTTCACTCTTGTTGCCCAGGCTGGAGTGCAACGGCGTGATCTCGGCTCACTGCAACATCCACCTCCCGGGTTCAAACAATTCTCCTGCCTCAGCCTCCCAAGTAGCTGAGATTACAGGTGTGCACCACCACACCCAGCTAATTTTGTACTTTTAGTAGAGACGGGGTTTCCCCATGTTGGTCAGGCTGGTCTCGAACCCCTGACATCAGGTGACCCACCTGCCTCGGCCTCCCCGAGTGCTGGGATTACAGCCATGAGCCACCATGCCCGGCACCATCTTTCTTAAGAGCTGTGCTGTATGTTGTGTCTTGGATTTGAAGAACCTGACAGCTATAGGAAGGATGATCCGGCCAGGTGCCGTGACCTTCATGTTAGTCTCCTTTTACAGATGAAGAAACTGTAAAGTTAAGTAGCTGACCACATTTCACAACAAACAGGTGGCAGAGCCAGACATGTAAGCTAGGCAGTCTTAGACCACAGCCTGCGTTCTAGAGCTGTGTGATCCGGTAGCGAAGCCGCCGGCCACGCGGGGCTGCTGAACACTTGAAATGTGGCTGGTTCGGATTAAAATATACTGTAAGTATAAACTACATACTGGATTTTCAAGCCTTAGTACATTAAAAGAGAATATATGGTATCATTTTTACATTTTTATCTATATATTTTATATTTTTATCCTGGTTTTATACTTTATATTAGTCACATGTTGAAATAATATTTTTTATTGGGTGAAACAAAATATGTTAAAATGAATATCAAGTGTTTCTTTCTACCTTTTTTAAAAACATGGCTACTAGAAAGCTTAAAACTGCATCTATGGCTCACATATTTCTATTGGACCGTGCAAATGGAGACTGTTGCTACTCACAGGATGGAGCAGCACCACATTCGCCTCCCCTGGGAGCTTTTGACAAATGCAGGATCACCAGCTCCACCCCGTATCTACTTAAGGCAGATTTTGCTTTAAAAAAATAATAATAATACCATATCTACTTAAGGCAGAATTTGCTTTAAAAAATAATAATAATATTAGAGACGGGCTCTCACTTTGTTGCCCAGGCTGGTCTTGAACTCCTGGGCCAAGCAATCCTCCCGCTTCAGTCTTTCAAAGTGCTATGATTACAGGCATCAGCCACTGTGCCTAGCCCAGAATTTGCATTTTAACAAGATCTCCAGGAGAGTCATGTGCATATCACAGGGTGAGAAGCATGAAAGTCCATGGTTTTACCAGGTGGTCCCCACGGACTTGTAGCATCTGTGTAATAGGAGGTTGTGTGTGTGTGTGTATATATATATATATATATATATATATATATATATATATATATATACACACATATACATATATATGTATACACACATATATGTTGTGTTTTTTTTTTTTTAGATACAGTCTCACCCTGTCGCTCAGGCTGGAGTGCAGTGGCCGGATCTCAGCTCACTGCAACCTCCGCCTCCTGGGTTCAAGCGATTCTCACACCTCAGCCTCCTGAGTAGCTGGGACTACAGTCGCACGCTACCACACCAGGCTTATTTATTTTTGTACTTTTAGTAGACACAGGTTTTCGCCATGTTGTCAGGGCTGGTCTCAAACTCCTGGCCTCAAGTGATCCTCTTGCCTCAGCCTCCTAAAGTGCTGGGATTGTAGGCATGAGTCACCACACCTGGCTGGTTTTATATACTTTTGAAGGGGAAAGAGGATGTTATAAGAAGTCATAATTAAATAAGTTAGACAAAGCTCAAATTGGCAAAATCAAACAGGATCCTTTCCTGTAGGACACCGCAGGGCCCTTGATGTGTTGATGTGCCTTGTGAATTCTCAAGAGGAGTACATGGGGTGCAGGGCCGCTCAGGTCCATAGCCAACTGATTATGTGAGCTTGAGCAAGTTACCACCCCTCTCTGTGTCTTGGTTTCCTCATCTGTGAAACAGGGGTCACAATGTTATTGACATTCTCTTAACCAACCTCCTCTTGACCTACTCACCAGATTTCCCTCCATGGATTACAGTTGACCGTTGAACAACATGGAGTTGAACTGCATGAGGCTGCTCGTATTTTCTTCTGCCTCTGCCACCCCTGAGACAGCAAGATCAATCCTTCCTCCTCCTCCTCCTCCTCAGCCGACTCAAAGACCATGAGGATGAAGACCTATACGATGATCCACTTCCATTTAATGAATCATAAATATATTTTCTCTTCCTTATAGTTTTCTTAATAACATTTTCCTTTCTCTATCTTTCTTTACGGTAAGAATAAATAATATAATTTTATATTATTGTAAGAATATAGTATATGATACATATATAATATAGCATATAATATATAATACAGTATATCATGTATATATATATAATATTTTAAAAAGACGAGTTCATTGACTATGCCATTAGAAAGGCTTCCAGTCAATAGTAGGCTGTTAGCAGTTAAGTTTTGGGGGAGGTGGCAAAAGTTATATGCAAATTTTTAACTGTGCAAGAGGGGTGGGTTGAGGGAGGACCCCAACCCCCTGCATTGTTCAAGGATCAACTGTATGTTGATAGTTACTAACACCCCCAGAAATACTTGAGCTGGGAGACTCCTCGGTGGAATCTCATTCAAACCAGCCCCCACCAGCTGAGCTATATGATCACCAGCAGTTGCTTGTCTTTGTTCCCAAACCTATTGATGCCAGTTGTATTCATAAATGTCATGTAATTTAATTATATAAAATGTAAAATATTAGTAAAAAATGAGATGAGTTCAACATGAGATAATAAGTTGAACACCTTGAAAACAATGTCCTTTCTGTGTATCAGGCTCTAGTGCTAAATATATGTGTCCCATCTCATTTGACCCTCACCACAACCCAGTAAAGTAGCTATTATTGTTCCCTTTTTGGCAATAAGGAAACTGAGGCACAGAGAGGCAAGGCAGCTTGCTCAGAGTCACACAGTTCCTAAGTAGGAAGGCCAGGATTAGAACCCAGGGGGTCTAACTCCTGGCCATTCTCTCATAACCCCTCTACTCCTACTTCCAGTCCAATGAGTAGTAATTCTTTGCTGCCAGAGTTACCACTGAGGCTCTTTCAAACTTCTGGACTCTTGAACAAGGTAGAGTGGGAAGAACCAGCTTCTAGCCCCAGCCCTTCCCAACTAGGCAAGGCACTGTCCCTGCTGGGTGGCAGGGTCTCCATCCATTCAATGAGGAGTTAGATCAAGGCTTTGCAAAAGCTTCTGCAACATCCTAGAGGATTCCAGAGAGGGAGGGGAAAGGCCTCCTACCCCTACTTCACACCCCACACACACACTTCATGCCCTATGTTGTCTATTTTAGATATTACATTACAATTTTGTTTGTTTGAAGGAAAACAACAATGTTTGAAAACCACTAAATGAGAAAGTGTCTTTGAGCTTCTGTTGCCTGCATAGTGAGTGGAGAAGAGAAGGGGGGAAAGTGGGTGTTTAAAGATAGTGCCAAAAGGAAGGAAGCTTGGATCTGTTTCTGGATCATCCCATCCACATCAGATGCCAAGTGAGGGTTTGATCTGAGCAATGGGAAGACAGGAGGGTGGCTCAATCAGAAGGTCCAGAGGAGAGGAACAAAGAGAGTGGCACCAGGACAGAGGGATCAGAGCATCCTACAGGCAGAGCTGGAAGAGTGGAAGCCAGAGCTCTGCACTGTGCTGCAGACCACTGCATCCTCAGCCCCCACTTGGCCAGCCCTCCTTCCCTGCCCATCAGCCCATTATACAGACGATAAAACTGAGCCCCAAAGAAGGTACATGGCTTCCCAGGGTCACTCATTCTTTCATGCATCCATTCAACATATATTCCCAGACCACCAGCCAGGTTCTCAGAAGTTAAGAGAGTCCTTTCTGTATTTAGAGGCTCCTGGGAATATTTACGATGAAGAAAGGTCAAAATGGGACATAAAAACCAGGATGCAGCAAGTGTGGGGGCTCACACCTGTAATCCCAGCACTTTGGGAGGCCCAGGCAGGCCAAAATTTACTGGGAACTTCCTGAGACAGTGTGGCTGTGTGTACGTGAGGCCAGGACTTTGAGACCAGCCTGGCCAACATGGCGAAACCCTGTCTCCACTAAAAATACAATAATTAGCTGGACATGGTGGCAGGTGCCTCTAATCCCAGCTACTTGGGAGGCTGAGGCAGGAGAATTGCTTGAATCCAGGAAGCAGAGGTTGCTGTGAGCCGAGATTGTACCACTGCACTCCAGCCTGGGCAACAGAGTAAGACTCCATCTCAAAAAAAAAAAAAGATAATTAAAAGATTTATGAAAAAAAAAAAGGATGTTTATGTATAACTCTCTATATGGGATATACTCCCAGTATGGAACATACGTTTGGAGTATTGTGACAAATGTCACCTCTTTTCCCTGCTTTTGGGACATTTCTGTGTGCGGATGTGTGACTATTTGGAGATAAACTCAAACGTCTCCATTTGAGACCCCTCATGAATATGAGGCCGAGAATAAATAGTCCTAAAGGCATCTACTGTAAGCTAAACCTTATTGAATGTTGGAAACAGGGAATCTATTTTCCTCTGTGGCTGGCTCCCACATCAACTGGGGACACTCATGGGTACCCAGAGGCAGAGACAATGCAAACTGCTCAGCATGGAAACCCAGGAAGCTAGGGAAGCTCAGAGAGGGGGAACTGCAAACCAGAGGGAGCAGCAACTCCCAGCCCAGAGAGCTGTTCCCCCAACAACCCGTCAGGCCTCAGGAGCTGATTCTGCTAGACCTGTTCTACTGCTGCCCAGGATGGGCTGCAAGCTCAGGGTGTCCTGTGGCTTGAAGGACTCAGGGAAGAGACCTCTGGGGAAGCCAGCCCTGACAATTTTGCAGCCCAGTGACTCAGCAGCCATCTTGCCAAGACACAGCCTTCCTCTCTAAGAGCGGAGACCCCCGTGCACCCCAGCACACCCCACGTCAACAGAGTCAGAACGTATTAGAGCAGAGTTTTGCTCCCCAGTGCCTCTTGTCTCAGCAAAGCCAACTAATTCAGATTTAACCTTCCTCTTAATAGGCCGTGTTGCTGAGCCCTCTAATTAATGCCACATGTTTCCCTCAGCTGTCATCCTGAATAAATGTTTACAAAGCTATTAACGTACTGTATTTGTAAACCTGGACCACTCGGCTTTGGGGAGTCATGTGGTACGCATTTTCTCCTCAAAGATGGAAAAGACTTAGTAATAATAAATACATTGTTTTGCAGGGATGGGAGCAAGGCGTTGCCTGAAAAAAAAAATTTATTGCGAGCTTCCTGAGACAGCGTGGCTGTGTGTACGTGAGGAATCAGAGCTCTTCCCGAGTTCAGAGGAACTGCCAGGGGCTGGATTTGGCCCAGGTAGGGGCTGAGAGTGGGAGAACTCCAGGGACAGAAAAAAGCAAAATGCTGGTTTGAGATCTGAAGACCCAGGCTCTGATTCCAGCCTCCTCGTTCACCAGCTCTGCAGCACTAGGCAAGCCAGTTTTCTTCTTAGGAACTCAGTTTTTCCATCTGTAAAATGGGAAGTTGAGATTTACAAGCGTTTTCTGTGTTTGATCCAGAATTCGAGTCTGACTCCTTCTCTGCTTCAACTACTACACAAGCCCTGAAGCGCGTCTTGTGTAAATTCTTCAAAGGTACCCATGCCCCTAAAGATGAAGTCCTGATGTCTCGACACGAAATCCCAGACGTAGCGTAATCTGCTCCACTGGCCTGTCCAGACCCAGCTCTGATTATTCCTGCCTTCTATTCTAGCCAGGCTCAATTGATTGTCAGTTTCCTAAAAGGAGCCCTCCTCACTCTCACTTCTGAGTCTTTGCCTATGCTGGGTTTCCTACCAGGAGCACCTCTTCCCTTCTGTCTGCCCTATTTCTACTCACTATTCATGTCTCAACTTCTAGATCTCTTTCCCTAGGAAGCCTTCCTTGACTCTCAGTTCTGGATGAGATTCCCGCACCCACAAATGCATCCACAGCACCCCGAACATCTCCCCTCTTAGGACCATTTTGTAGTGACTTATTTATATATCTGCCCACTAGAGTGTGAGCTCAAAAGGAGCAGGGACGACCACTATTCGACTAAATGCTGTGTCCCAGATGCCTCACAAATGGGAAATACTTTCAATTAATGTTGCTGGAAACACATGAAGTGACAGGTGACAGGTGACAAAGAACAATGCGGGGGCCTTTCTAAACACTTTGTAGCTCCAGGAATTTTGGTCCATTAACACGCCATCCTGCAGTGCCCTTCCTGTTTCTCTCAGTAATACCAATAAGGGGCTCAGAGGCTGGGCGTGGTGGCTCACGCCTGTAATCCCAGAGCTTTGGGAGGGCGAGGCGGGCAGATCACCTGAGGTCAGGAGTTCGAGACCAGCCTGGCCAACATGGCGAAACCCCATCTCTACTAAAAATACAAAAATTAGCCAGGCATGGTGGCGGACGCCTATAATCCCCACTACTTGGGAGGCTGAGGCAGGAGGATTGTTTGAACCCAGGAGGCAAAGGTTGCAGTGAGCTGAGATCATGCCACTGCACTCCAACCTAGGCAACAGAGCGAGACTCCATCTCAAAACACAAACAAACAAAAAGAAAATAAGGGGCTTAGGTTAAGTGACTTGCCTATTATTATACAATTAGTCTTGGACAAAAACTGGGATAGGAACCTAAGACTGTTAGTCTCTCAAAGCACAGACTCTTATTATTATTATTATTATTATTATACTTTAAGTTCTAGGGTACATGTACACAGCGTGCAGGTTTAGGTTTGTTACATATGTATACATGTGCTATGTTGGTGTGCTGCACCCATTAACTCGTCATTTACATTAGGTATATCTCCTAATGCTATCCCTCCCCCCTCCCCCCACCCCATGACAGGCCCCGGTGTGTGATGTTTCCCCAGCCTGTGTCCAAGTGTTCTCATTGTTCAATTCCCACCTATGAGTGAGAACATGCGGTGTTTGGTTTTCTGTCCTTGCGATAGTTTGCTCAGAATGATGGTTTCCAGCTTCATCCGTGTCCCTACAAAGGACATGAACTCATCCTTTTTATGGCTGCATAGTATTCCGTGGTGTATATGTGCCACATTTTCTTAATCCAGTCTATCACTGATGGACATTTGGGTTGGTTCCAAGTCTTTGCTATTGTGAATAGTGCCGCAATAAACATACATGTGCATGTGTCTTTATAGCAGCATGATTTATAATCCTTTGGGTATATACCCAGTAATGGGATGGCTGGGTCAAATGATATTTTTAGTTCTAGATCCTTGAAGAATCGCCACACTGTCTTCCACAATGGTTGAACTAGTTTACAGTCCCACCAACAGAAAGCACAGACTCTTAACCGTGGTGATATCCAACCCCCTAACAGTGCTACCAGCAGCGGGGCCACCACCACCCTCTCCCCTCCCACATCTATGCCGTGATACCTCACACTTGCTGATGTAAATGGCTTTAGCACTCTACTCCAGCTTTTCTCATGCGTTTGTCATCATGGTTACCTAGAATGTGCTAGTCAGGATTCTCTGTGTGTAAGCGACACAAAGACAATTCTAACTAAAACTAATCAAATACAGAGATGGGGAGGAATAGCAACTCTTCTGTCAAGCCACAGAAGGGGCAGAGGTGAAACTGGCCTTAGGGATGCCTATAACCAAGTCTCAGACCCAGCCAGTCCCTGTCTCTTATTTCTGTCATCCCCACTTCTCCTTTTGGGTTCCTTTAATTCCCTCAGGCTGCATGCCACCAGGAAGCCAGAATGGAAGCTACACCTACACAAACAACAGCAAGGACAACACTCTTCTCCACCAAGGCCCTAGGAAAAATCCTAAGGAAGCAATTTGATTGGTCAAGACTGAGTCACATGTTCAGGCCTGGACCAATCACTGTGGTCAGAGGTGGAATGCTGTGATTGGACGTTCCTGTCGAAGCGCCACTGTTAGAAGAGAAGCAGTTTCCAAAAGGAAGTGGATAAAGATGTTTCTAGAAGAAACAGTCCCGTCTATGGCAGAGGATAGATGATGTCCTTTATTTTTAAAGTCCCAGTTCCTTCCTATGGGGCTATATAGCGTGAATCTTCATGAAGTTGAAGTTTTACTTATTTACTTGTTTCAGCTCAATGCTTGGAGAGAAAGACAAGACAAAGCCAAAAGCCAGCACTGGGGAAACAAAACACTACTTGTTCCTGATGCAGCCTCTTATCCTCCTGGAGTTCACCTTTTGATGGAGAGGATAGGCAAGTTAACACACAAGCAAAGTCCAGTGGGTAACTGCTCCCACAGAGGAAGGCAAAGAGGGATTCATTGCTAACTGAGCTTTGCAGAGTGTTTTTTGAATGGAGAGGAGGCACCTGTAATCCCAGCACTTTGGGAGGCCAAGGCAGAAGGATCACTTGAGGCTGGAAGTTTGAGACCATCCTAGGCAACATAGTGAGACCGCGTCTCTACGAAAGATGAGGTGGGAGGGTTGCTTGAGCCCAGGAAGTCAAGGCTGCCGTGAGCCATGATGGCACCACTGCACTCCAGCCTGGTGACAGAGCAAGACCCTGACTCAAAAAATTAAAAAATAAAGGTTATGAATGAAGAGGAGAAAGAAAAGCCAGGGTTGTAAAATGGAGCAACGAAACGCAGAACTGTTACATCAATAATGCCCAAGACTGCACCTGGCACCTAGTAGGTGCTCAATAATATTTTGTTGAAGGAATAAGTTACTGAATGAGAGTAACATGTCACAGCTAAGGAAAGGAGAGTGTCCCTGCTTGATGACAGGGCTTGAGAGTTGGGGCAGCATGGATTTGAATCTCAGTTGCAGCACCTACAAGTTGTGCAAATTGGCCAAGTCACTTCAGCCTTCGGAACCTCAGTTTCAGCCTCTATGAATGGAAAATAACATACCTACCACCTGCTGTTCAGGATGGGATTCAATAAGCTCTCCAAAGTGCTTGGGCTGGTGCTGAGACACCACGACGTTCCAGTCTGTGGCAGAGAATAGATGACGTTCTTTATTTTAAAAGTCCTACTTCCTTCCTCTGGGGCTACATAGCTTGAATCCTCATTAAATAGACGTTTTACTTATTCATTTGTTTCAGCTCACATGCTTGGAGAGCAAGACAAAACAAGACAAAGCAAAAAAAAAAAAAAAGTCAAGACAAAGATTTTTGTAAGAGCTAATGTGTCTTACAACAAAACATAGCTTTCCTGCAGAATCTCTCCATGGTGAATTGAAAACGGCTTTAACTGGTTTCATTCCAAGCAGCAGAAACAATTGTTCCCGACCTCACAGCTTTTCTGCGGGAGAGCAGCCTCTGCAAAGGGTATTTGGGCTTGCCTGTCTCCATTTAAAAATGCGTGTGAAATACCAACCCAGTTGAAATAGCAACGCTTCTAAAATTGCTGCTGATGTCCTAGAACGCAAAACCCAAGGAACATAGTCCCCTGGCTCTGCTCTAAGCAATACATATGCTCTGTATTTTGACCCTGAAAAGCCAGGAGCCCGGAGTTTTTCACAGATATTGGCAGCCACCTGAAGGTAACAAGACAGCCAGGCCAGAAAGGATGTTGAAACTATTTTGAGGGTTCTATAAATCTACATAACATTTTTCTTTTTTTGGATCCATCCTTTCTCTCTCGCCTCTCCCAGCCCCTTCTCTTCTTCCAATTCTCTTGCTCCTTCCCTCCTCCATGACAATGGAAGGAAAATATTAAAATATTTATCCCAGCACATAAGTATTAACTACAGAGAACTCATCACCAAACAGGCACACAGACAAGGGCAGTGCCCTCACTTCCACTTTGGAGAGTATCCCTCTTTTCTATTCCCCCTGGTGCCTCCATGAAAACTGCCTCTTAGGCATAACTCTTGGCTCTCCTGGGTTCAGAATTCCTGTACCAGAAGTTTAGCAAGACCATATTTGCTTTCAGCTGCATGAAGAGCCCACAGCTCACATCCAGCCTTGCTTTTTTTCTTTTTCTTTTTTTCTTTTTTCTAGACGGAGTCTCACACTATCACCCAGGCTGGGGTGCAGTGGCACGATCTCAGCTCACTGTAACCTCCACCTCCCAGATTCAAGCGATTCTCCTGCCTCAACCTCCTGAGTAAATTGAGATTACAGGCGCCCACCACCACCAGCTAATTTTTGTATTTTTAGTAGAGATGGAGTTTCACCATGTTGCCCAGGCTGGTCTCAAACTTCTGACCTCAGGTGATCCGCCCACCTCGTCCTCCCAAAGTGCTGGGATTACAAGCGCGAGGCACCGTGCCTGGCCAGCGTCCAGCCTTTCGATTCCTGGCCACCCCTTGAGTGTGCATAGATGGCAGGGCCCCCACTTTCTCTCGCCCAGGAACCTGGGCTGAGCAGGCTGAGTGGTTTTATTTAAAACAGTGCTTCCCAAAGTCAGCCAGTGCTGGCTTCATGGGCGTGGGACCTGCACAGTTGCATGGGTCCCTGCATACAGAAGAGCGCACCACGTTGCTAAATGCTCTGCTGTTGCTGTCTTAAGATTCTTAATAATTTTTGAGCAAAAAGCCCCACATTTTCATTTTTCATTGGGCCTGCAAATGATGTTGCTTGATATGCATAACCATGCACTGTACAGGAGATAATTTTAGCTGCTCCACAGACCAACCTTTTCTTAATTCAACTGGCTACACGTGTACATTGCTGTATGTGTTAGAATCAGCATGGGACTCAGTGATCACACTCTCCTTTTGCAGCTCTTAAGACTGAGGAAGAGGAAAAATCTACTTATGGGAAAAAGTAGGTCCACTTAAAAAAAATAGGAGGTGTATTAACTACAGATCCTACTCAAATGTGGCAAAAGAAAAAGTGAGGGAAGTAAATAAATTTGAGAATTGCTGAACTTAAAGGACCTCGAAGAGCTTTCTCTCCACCTCCACCAAATCACTAACTACAAAATATCACTAGCCCCACAACACTATTACTCACCTGCTAGCTAGAGTGCCTGGAGTTCTTGTATTGTGGCTTATCGGAATGTACTCTAATTCACTATGTGCCTTTGGACAAGCCTCCTTGTCCCACCGCGTCTCAGTTTGCCCGTCTGTAAAACGGGCCAGTTCTTTCATCTTAAATATCTTGGATTCCCTTGAGTCAAACCAATGGTTTGTAAATGCTGGTCCCCATACTGCCTGCATCTGAGCCACTGGAGGAGGACATTAGAAATGCTCATCCCCAGGCTGAGGCCTGGGGAATTCAGTAGGTTGGAGGTTAAATTTTGGAATATTTTAAACCAACCTTCTCAGAACTTTTGATCAGCAGCCAGTTTTAAGAGCTTCTAAGTTAAAATATTTAAAATCACCCATTCATCATTCAACAAGCACTTGCTGAACAATCCCTGGGGGTCTTCCACGGTGCAGAGTAACAGAGAATTAGACCGTCTCTACCTGCCGACGCCCTGCAATGTCTGGTTGCAGGAAGAACTTGAACAACAAAGCAATCATATCTACTTCCTGTGTGCCAGCTACAAAGAGTTGCATGTATATTAACTGTGGCACACTGGATCTTTCCAAAAGCAGTCACAGCAATATTGCCAGTTCCATAATGTTGCCAGTCCATCAAGCAATGGAGTCTATTTCCAGTCTCCTTGAAACTGAGCAGAATTTTCTGACTTCTTCGATGAGCAGAAAGAGTAAAAGTGACTCTTTGTGACCTCCAGGAGAAGTCATAAAAGGCAATATTTCTTCCACCTGGCTTTCTTCTCACTTCTCTCAGGATGCTCACCATTGGAACCTAGCCATCGTCTTGTAAGGAAGACAAGTAGCTACATGGAGATGCCATGTGTAGGTGTCCCAGCCATCTGATCCAACTGAGGCCTCACCAATCTCCAAACATAAGAGCAAGCAAGCTCCAACTCCATGCCTGTAGCACTATAGGTGCCCCTCAGAGCTCACCAGCCCCTACCTTGTTTTCCCTCTCATCTCCTCTCTTCCATGCAGCCTTTCTCTACCCTGTGACACATGGGAGCCCAAGCATTATTCAGAGCCCTTTGCACTTCTTCGACCAACAGCCTCATAATACTATTACTGCTGATGGCATTTCATTCCCAATGCCAAACCTGATTTGGAGTTCACAAGGCTGAGGTTTTCAATCCAGGCTCTGTGGACAGGCTCCGGGAGCCCTAAGTGACTGTAGCTTACAGACAATCCAATTGTTATTGACATTTGTGTCTGACTGTTCATCAAGGAGGAGCTGTCTTGTAGGCCAAATCATTCTATTACCCGGCCCCCCTTTCACCCTCCCCACTAACGACAAAACACATACGCACCATCAGTGGCAGGCCAATCAATCGTAATATCACTCTACATCTATCAGGGTCACTTTTGTGTGCCTGAGTTTGGGGGCGGCTGGGAGAGGGAAAAGGGAAATGGGAAGAAAAAGGAATGGATCTAAATTTTTGTGCTATGAGGATCTGAAATGGAAGCATCTACTGAAAACAGAAAAGAATCAATTGCATTGCAAAAGATATCCATAAATATCTATGTCTGTATCCATATTTATATCTGTATACCCGACTACTTGGAAGGGTAATTCTTAAGAGGCATGTCATTTGTCAGTTCATTCTGCTTGATTGTGTCCCAGAATAATGTCTAGTTTTATCTTGAATGAGACTTGTGTTGGGTTAAGCAAACTTGATCATAATAGATCCAATAAGTTGATGAGTTACCCTGCCCCCCCAACATAAGGCATCTCTCATTCATATCATAAATCTTTCCCCCATTTTATCTAATTCTATTTTTCCAGAGTCCCCATTAGCCAGACTACCCATTTTAGTGTTATCTTGAGAAAGCTGAAACCATCAGCCTGCTGCAAGTGTTGGCTGTATCTGACTTCAAGTGCTCTTACAATTCTCATTCATTCCAAGAAAAAGTGAAGACCTCAAACCATCAGTCAGACGAAAGCCATTTTGCAAGGAGTGGTGAAAGGTTTGCACTGAACCGTCCACACTTTCTTGGAGTCTAAACAATAACACACCTTTTTGGAATGGCTGCCACATGGATTGGTCCCTAAGTGGATACAACAATGGCCCTGGTCTTCTCAGCAACAGGACTGAGCTAACTCACAAACACCGAGGCTCTTCTTTGCTCAAAAAGAAAAACGTGGGCACATTAAAGCAACAATGAATTCTACACACTACTAGAATGGCTAAAATTAAAGACTGACAATCCCAAGTGTGGACGAGGATGTGGAATGATTGAAGCCCTCATACCTTACTGATGAGTCTTAAGGGCTGAATTGTGTCCACGCTACATTAGTATATTGCAGTCCGAAACCCCAATACCTGAGAAGATGAATGTATTTGGAGATAGGGTCTTTAAAGAGGTGATCATGTTGAAATGAGGTCATTAGAATGGATGGACCCTAATCCGATATACCTAGTGTCCTCAAAAAATAGGATATCTGGATGCAGACATGCACAGAGATAAGGTGATGGGAAGACACTGGAAGAGGCAGCCAGCCACAAACCACAGACAGAGGTCTCAGGAGAAACCAACCTGCCAATACCTTGATCTCAGGCTTCCAGCCTCCAGAATGGTGAGAAAATTAATTTCTGTTGTTTAAGTCACCCAATCTGGGTATTTTGTTATGGCAGCCCTAGCAAACCAATACAGTTGGGGTGCAAAATGGTGTAGCCACTTTAGAAAACAGTTGCCAGTTTTTATAAAGTTAACTGTGTACTAACAAATATAAGACAGAAATCTCATTCCTTCTCTTCCATCTCCAGAAGAGATGAAAACATATGTTCATACAAAGACCTAAAAATGAATATTTATAGCATAATTATTTACAATAATCCAAACTATTGAAACAACCCAAATGTCTATCAACTTATGAGTGAATAAACAAATTGTGGTATATGCATACAATGGAATACTACACAGTAATGAAAAGAAACAAACCATTGGCACATAGAAAAACATGGAGAATCTCAAAGCATTCATTGTATTAAGTGAAAGAAGCCAGACACCAAAGACTATATATAATTTCCATTTCTATTACATCCTGGGAAAGCTAAATCTACAAGAACAGGAAACATATCAGTGGGGCCCAGGGGCTGGAGGTGAGAGGAGGGAATTTATTACAGAGAAGCACAAAAGAACATGTTTGGGTAACGGGATTGTTCTATTTCTTGATTGCAGTGATGGATACATGTCAAATTCATCAAACTGTATCCTTAAAAGAGTAAATTTTGTTGTATATGTTTCAGTAAACTTGACTTTTAAAAATAATATTATAATAATGAGCTATCCTTCTTTGCCCAAGGGGCAAATTTTTTTAAAAAAATTAATAACATTCAGGTCTGGACGCAGTGGTTTACACCTGTAATCCCAGCACTTTGGGAGGCCGAGGCCAGGAGTTGGAGACCAGCCTGGGCATTATGGTGAAACCCTGTATCTACCAAAAATATATACAAAAATTAGCCGGGCATGGTGGTGCATGCCTGTAATCTCAGCTACTCTAGAGGCTGAGGCATGAGAATCACTGGAACCCAGGAGGCTGATGTTGCGGTGGGCTGAGAGCGCACCCCTCCAGGCTGGGCGACAGAGTAAGACTGTTTCTCAAACAACAACAACAAAAATGAAAACAAAAAAAAAATTCAGTATTGGTGAAGATCCAGCCAAACAGGTACTTTTATGCCCATGAAAAAAAAAAACTATTGGATATTTCTTTTTGTTTGTTTGTTTGTTTTATAATTTCAACTCATATTTCAGAATCAGGGGGTACATCTGCAAGTTTGTTCCATGGGTATATTGCTTGATGCTGAGGTTTGGAGTATGGCTGGTCTCATCACCCAGGTATTGAGCATGGTACCCAATTATTAGATGTTCCCATTAGAAACACCTTTCTGGAAAGCAAATCGGCAGTTCTCCATCAAAATGTAAAACGTATTATCTTTTGACTCAGTGTATCTTCCTCTAGGAATCCATCCTGCAAAACTACTTGCATATTTATAATAGGTACGTAGCAGTATTGTTTTTCATGACAAAAATAAGACAGCAATCCTTGGAAAAATTTATCACAGAGACAAGAGCTCAAAGATACCCAACTAATGACATGAAAGAAGAGGAAGTAGAGGCAAGGGGGGGGGATCTCTGTACATGTTATTCAATATGTTTCTTTATTGTTTAAATCTTTTATAGAGAGAATTAATTCACATGTTGTATAATATTTATGTTTTAACCCTGGGCCCAGAACTCCATTTTAATAAATAATAAAATGTTTCTTACTCCACTATCCTCTTAAATCGTCCCCTTCCCTGTTCTCTCTTTATTGATACATGTACTTGACATCCCAAACCAATTAATTCATTAAGACAGGCCATTCATTTATATTAGCAGATTTTAGGCAAAGAAATTCTTTTTAAAAATATATGCTAGTGTTTACTAGAGCATGATTATCAAAATGATGACAGTGACAATATTAAAAGTCATAAAAGTAGAAGAATTTGGCTGACTTCACTTAAGGCAGACCTGATGATCGAAAGTGTCATATGCTCATGAAGATTTGCTCAGTGTTATCTCAGTGGCAGGAACAAAATAAGGATGAGAGGAGGATGGAGAAACTGGGGACAATTTATGTCACTGAAGAGGGATTAGAAAACACTTAGGGGAAGAACAGATGGATTGATGTTAGATCCAGGTTTCCTTGACCTTAGAGGGTAAATATAAATCAAATTAACTTCAATTACAGAGAAAAACACCAAGTTCCTTTGGAACGAGGCTATAATCAGGGACTTTGACTTTGCAAATACCGGCTGTGCTTGCAACACTCGTCCACCAGGGCCACCGTAGAAGACAGCCTGGGTTTCCTCCAGTTCCCCACACCTGGAGTTGAGCAATAAGATATTCCCTTTGTTGTTGAACTCATCAACCTTGGTGAAGCCAAAGGTTTACTTGAGCTACCTGAATCATTGGAAAGTAGGAGGGAAAACAGGTATGTCCTTGAGCTATAGTCTTTTCCTGGGGCCGTTTCTCTTCTCCAATGAGAGAATTATATCTCATCTTGGAGATTACTTGAATTTTTCCAGATAAAGGTTCTAGAAGTGATGATCTCATTGAATTATTTCTTAGTGGGTTTTAAGTTGAAAGTGGGAAATCAAATAATGGGGAAAATACCTATTCACCATGAGAGTTCCTTACCAGCCGGTGTCTCAGTGTCTTTGCCAAACCTTGTGATTTTTTGGCCACCCAATCTAGGGTGGGAGTGAGGAGAGATTCCATTAAATTCGGGGTCAGCAAATTATTCCTGTAAAGGGCCAGATAATAAAAAGTTTAGGCTTTGTAAACCTTATGGTCTCTATCATAGCTACTCAACTCTGCTGTAGTAGAGCAAAAGCAATAATAGATGACATGTAAATGAGTGGCCATGACTGTGTTCCAATAAAACTTTATTTATGGGCACTAAAATTCAAATTTCATATAATTTTCATATGTCACAAAATATTATTTTCCCTTCGATTATTTTTTCCAAGTATTTAAAAAGGTAAAAACCCCATAAGGACACATGCACATGTTATGTTCACGGCAACACTAGTCACAATAGCAAAAACATGGAATCAATCTAAATGCCCATCAATGATAGGATAAAGAAAATGTGGTACACATACACGTGAATACTATGCAGCCATTAAAAAGAATGAGATCGTGTTCTTTGCAGGAACATGGGTGGAGCTAGAGGCCATTATCCTTAGCAAACTGACACAGGAACAGAAAACCAAACTAAGTGGGAGCCAAATAAGAAGAATATATGGACACAAAGAGGGGAACAACAGACACTGGGGACTGCCTGAGGATGGAGGGCAGGAGGAGGGAGAGGATCAGAAAAATAACTATCAGGTATTATGCTTAGTATCTGGGTGATGAAGTAACCTGTACAACAAACCTCAGTGAAACGAATTTACCTGTATAACAAACCTGCAAATGTACCCTTGAACATTAAACGTTTCATTTGTTTGTTTGTTTGTTTGGTTGTTTAAAGATAAAAACCATTCTTAGTTATTGAGCCCTACAAAAAGGTAGTGGACTGAATTTGGCTTCCAGGGCCCAGTTTGTCAATACCTGAATTAAATCATCTTCTCATTTACACTTTTTTGTTGCAAATATAATTGTTTTGAAATGTCCCTCTTACTAAAGCAATGTCTTGACAGATAGATTACTAAATAGGTAGATAATTGATGATAGATAAATAAATAGATAGATAGTTGGATTTTTTAAAAAAAGAAACGGTTGATCATTTGGGATATTAGAAGTAAGCCCCTTGAAGGTTATGCTTATCACAATGCCTAGCACGTAATACAGGTCAGTAAGTTTCTCTCAAATAAATGGAGAAAAGATTAAAGGAAGAAGAGTTTAGAGTTTTGTTTTCCTTTCTGGAAATGCCGACAACACTTCTTTCTTTAAGCTATGAGTGTTCCAGAAGACAGGGAGAGGCCAGGTGTTAAACACTGAAGTTTTAAATGAGATTAAGAAAATGAAGGCAAATGGCCAGCAGTTTGTTGGACAGAGGTGAATCGCAACATCAGAGCTCAACTGCAGTATCAGACCAAGATGGTAGCCTGGCAAATTATTACAACAGGTAGCACATGTTTGGGTTGGTCTTACCAAAGGGAGAAGTCCAAGTGGGGTTGGGGAGGGTAGGGAGAAGGGAGAGAGGGATACCTTTCTAACCAATTATATTGGTTAGAAATTTAAGCCCAACTACAGTGGCTTTTAATGTTTACATTCAGGATTTCACTTTTTCTGTCATAAAAGAATCCCTGAAGTGGATAATCAAAAACAGGACAATTCTATCAACTTTTCAGGGAGGCAGAGTCAGGCTCCTTCCATCTTTTCCCTCTACCCTTGGGTCACTGCCTAGGATAAGATGGCTGCTGGAACTCCAGTCATTACATATACGTTCCAGATTCCAGGTGCAGAAATCAGGGAGAGGAGAGGATAAAAGTCCTGAATCAACTCTCTTAACCAGTCTTTTCAGACATCACACACTTATCAATAGCCAAAACTTAGTCATATAACAAATTTAGCTGCAAGGAAAGCTTAAAAACATGTTTTTTTTTAAATTGGCACTCACAAAAAACTTGAGCCCTATTTCTAAGGAAATAGAGGAGAAAAGATACTGATAAGGCAGCTAGTCATATCTGCCTTAGGAATGAATAATGGTTTATTAATTGATTTATTCATAAAAAATTATTGTATGTTTACCACGCTTGCCAGATAAGGTTATAGCAGAGAAAAAGGCAAGTCCCTACTTTCATGGAACCCAAGTTCCAGGAAGGAAGAGAGACGTTAAATAGAATCTATCATGAAGGTCTTTAAAGGACAAGTTGCTGATGGAGCATATAAACTGGGTGATCTAACCCCAGGGACTGGCAAACTCTTTCTTCAAAGGGCCAGAGAGTATTTTTTCTAAGTTTTCTCAGCCATATATTGTCTGTCTCAACTACTCAACTCTGCCATTAGGGAACACGTAAATGAGTGGGCATAGTTGTGTTTCGATAAAACTTTATTGACAAAAACAGTCAATTGGCCAAATTGGGTTGACAGGAAATAGTTTATCAACTCTCAATTCAAGCCAGTGTGAGAGGTCAGTTAAAATCCTACTGAAGAGGCATCTTTTAGGACAAGATCTGAAAGACGATCAGAAGTTCATTATGAAGGAAGGAGCAGGGCAGAGGGTTCCAGGCAAAAGGAACAGCATTTCAAAGATCTAGCTGCATCTTCAAGGATTTTAAAGAAATCTAAGTATTTTGTAGTAAAACAAGCAAGAAGCGAAGTTACAAAAGATGAATTGGAGAAGAGGCTGAAGCCAGGGCTTTCTTAATGGGCTGTACTGTATCTTAAGGGCATATAAAGTGTCTGTTTTTAATAAGGAAGTGACATGATTGGACCTGCATTTTTTTCCGTTCATTGTGGCTCTTTGAGTGAAGGGATTAGAGGAGCCAAAAGTAAAGGTGAGACATTCATCATAATGGTGAAAATGAAAAATAAAATCTGATAACATCAGGCGTTGGTGAACTGTTCTAATTCGCAGCTCTTCTGACACCAAATGTGTGTGGATTTTCCTCACACCAACTAAATCTCCACCTCTCCAGATACCAACTAGATGTCCTGCAATTCAGTTCAGTTCTGTCAACTAACTACCCCAAATTAGTGTCAGACTCCACGCATTTGAGAGCTCAGTCCTCCAAGACCACCCTCACATTAGATACCAGTCACAACTCTTTGGTTCCCAGCTAATCCATCTTGCTGTCCAACATGGCTACACATCAGAGGTTCCCAAAACCTCCCACCTCAGGTTCAATATTTTGCTAGGATGGCTTCAGGAGCAACTCAGGATGCAAATGGAAGAGATGGATAGGATAAAGTGTGGGAGGGGAGAGGGGGCATGGAGCTTCCATGCTGCTATGGTTTAGCTGTGTCCCCACCCAAATTTCATCTTGAATTGTATCTCCCATAATTCCCATGTATCATAGGAGGGACCTGATGGGAGGTAATTGAATGATGGGGGCGGGTCTTTTCCATGCTGTTTTCACAATAGTGACTAAGTCTCATGAGATCTGATGGTTGTATAAATGGGAGTTCCCCTGCACAAGCCCTCTTGTCTGCTGCCATGTAAGACATGCCTTTGCTTCTCCTTTGCCTTCTGCCGTGATTTTGAGGCCTCCCCAGCCATGTGGAACTGTGAGTCCATTAAACCTCTTTCTTTTATAAATTACCTGCTCTCTGGTACATCTTTATTAGCAGCATGAGAACAGACTAATACACCTGCCATCTCTGGGTGAATCACCCTCCCAGCACCTCCATGTGTTCACCAACAGGAAAGCTCTCTGAACTCCATTATTTAGAAGGTTTTTATGGAGGTATTGTTGATTAAATCATTGGCCATTGGTGATTAGCCCAATCTCCAGCCCCTCTCCCCTCCTTAGGGGTCAGGGAGTGGAGCTGAAAGTTCCAACCCTTGAATTGTGCCTTTCCCTCAGTCACCAGCCTCCATCCTGTAGCTATCCAGGTGTTTCTATCTGCCAGCCAGCACATTTGCATACAAAAACGTTCTTCTCACTCTGGAGGCTCCACGGGTTTAGGAGCTGTGTGCAGGAACTGGGGGTGAAAATCAAATATTTATTTCTTTGTTATATCATAATTGGCAAATAAATGGACAACCTAGGACATATCATAAGCTTCTGGTGGGAGGATACATTGGTCCAACCATTTTGGAAAATTGTTTAGCACTTTCTGCTAAACCTGAACATACCCCTTTCCTGACAGCAAATACTTCTACTCTCAGGTATACACTTAAGAGAAATGGGAGTGTTATGTTCACCAAACACAAATGTCCATAGTTGCCCTGTTTGAAAAAGCCCAAAACTGGAAACAATTTGAATGCCCAGCCATAGCAGAACAGATAAATAAATTGTGTTATTCTTATACTGTACAGGGTGTCAAATGCAACACTGAGAGTAATCTAATCAGTCCACAATTACGTGCAGTGACATAGATTAATTTCACAAACACGAGATATGCTGAAAGAAAGAAACCAGACATGAGAGTACAGTAAGTTCTGCTATGGCCTTGTATGTGTACCTAAAAATTACTGTGCTGTGTAAGTTCACTCAATAAAAGCCACAGAGTTTATGGGGGAAATGGGATTGGGAGACATACTCAAAAACTTTGTCAGTGACACATTTTTTAAAAAACAGGAACATGGCCGGGCGTGGTGGCTCACAGCTGTAATCCCGGCACTTTGGGAGACCAAGGTGGGTAGACACTTGAGGTCAGGAGTTCGAGACCAGCCTGGACAGCATGGTAAAGCCCCATCTCTACAAAAAATAAAAAATAATTAAAAAATTAGCCGGGCATGGTGGCATGTGCCTGTAGTCCCGGCTACTTGGGAGGCTGACGTGGGAGGATGGCTTGAGCCTGGGAGGTGGAGTTTGCCGTGAGCCAAGATCGTGCCACTGCACTCCAACCGGGGTGATAGAAACAGATCTTGTCTCAAAAAAAGCGTAATAAAAGTGATAGCACAGTTTTACACGTGTAAAATGTTTTTTTTTAAGTGCGTAAATACTACAATAAATATGGGACTTTAGAAAAGTCCTGAAGTTTGCTTGTGGGAATGTGCACTGGAAGGGTTGCAGCTTGTGAGTTTTTGGGAAGTGGCAGGAGGTTGTCTGAAATCCGGAAGTTGTAACACCAGATGGGGATGAGGATGGCTCATGACAGTTGCAGTGAACTGAGGAGGGAGCAGCTGGTAGATGTTAGAGCAATGTGCATTTTGTGTATTCCTCTGTGGCTCAGTTCAGCTGGGTGCAGTTTTCTATATTTACTTAGTGTTTCTCACAACAAAATTACACATAAGCACATGCAAAATTTGCCTTATGCTCAAATTGTTCCCTAATATATCAATCACCTGAGAACAAACTTGCATTTTCAAAACAAGCATTATAGCAGAACTGGCTCTACATATTGGATGATTCCATTTTCTATAAGCTTCAAAACCAAGTAAAGCTCTAACCATGTGTAAGAAGTCAAGATAGTGGTTATCCTTGGGTGAGGGAAGGTAATGACTGAGAAGGTGGGTGAAAGGGCTGCTGAGGAATATTGTGGGAATATTGTGTTTCTGGGTGCTGGGCACATGCTGGGTTCATTTTGTGCAAATGTGATGGAGCTGTATCCTTCCTACATTTGCATTTTGCTACATTTATGTTCAACTACAATAAGACATTAACTATGGATGAGTGATTAAAAACAGGTTCTCACGTAAAACAAAGCAGCAAAGGCAGGAGACTAGTTAGGAAGGTGTTCTTGCCTTTTAAGTAAAAGGGCCTTTAATCCCAGCACTTTGGGAGGCCAAGGCAGGAGGATCACTGGAGGCCAGGAGTTTGAGACCAGACTGGACAACATAGTGAGACCCCATTTCTACAAAAATTAATTAACAAATTAAAGGGAATGGTGTCCCAGACCAGGGTGTGCAGAGGAAGGGGCAGCCATAGATGGATGGAAGGCTGTCTAGGCTATGGAGTGCCATGACATGATGAATATAAGGAAAATTAGTGAATGACAGGATAACTTTTAGTTTTCTCTCTTGGGTGAGGAATCAGACTAGCCACAAGACAGGAAGCTTCCGTTTGAGATAAGCCCTGTAGTGTTTCACACCCGTCAGATTTTCCTACAACTGTGGGCAGAATTGAGCAGCTTGAGGCTAAGTTCACACATTGCTAACAAACATACGGGCATTTATTTAATTGGATCTACAGGATCTATCCTCTTTCTTGAAAGAATGACGATGAGTCAATGTTCCCTTATGAAGGTACCTTCAAGATTTCACGAAGCAAAGGCCGTAGTAAGACAGTCAGGGTTAAATAGCATCTTGGCACGGATGGGCAGAACAGAGGAGAATCCAGAGATCCTGAAGGCACCAACCCTCAAGACAAAATGGCATCTGTTTCCTTCTCCGCCTTTAAAAAGCCATCTTCCTCCCTCACTCACCCCTATACGGTAAATAACTTGGACAGTAAAGTTTAAGACTTGTGGCCCAGTGTGGTGGCTCATGCCTGTAACCCCAGCACTTTGGGAGGCAAAGGCAGGTGGATCACTTGAGGTCAGTAGTTCTAGACCAGCCTGGCCAACATGGTGAAATCTCATTTCCACTAAAAATACAAAAATTCGCCCGGCATGGTGGCAGGCACCTGTAGTCCCAGCTACTCGGGAGGCTGAGGTGGGAGGATCACTTGAACCCAGGAGGCAGAGGTTGCAGTGAGCCCAGATCACACCACTGCACTCCAGTCCATGTGACACAGTGAGACTCCATCTCAAAAAACAAACAAACAAAAAGAGTTAAAGACTTGTAGAGGAGGTCAAGAAATCTAAATGTCTTCAGTTTCATAGTTTAAGATGACTTACTGCTCCATGGTTTAGAGTTCAGAAAGAGTTCTTTTTTAATTAATTTGTAATAGTGTATGCTGTTATTATTTTTTGTATATCAAGGTTCAACTCTGCAAAGATGCAAACCCAACCACTCATTTAATTGTCTTCTTTATGGGAGGAATAAATGGGTTTAGGGTCAACGTGCCGCAGGCATCCAAGCCCTTTCTCAGCCAGCGCATTTTCAATCTGAGTAACTTAAATCCCAAACCTACAAGGGCCCAGAACTTATTTTCTTCATCTCTTGTAAAGGGCTGAGCAGACTGTGGTATTCAACAAGTCATAAATAATGCTATACGATATATCAATAGCATGTGCAGACTGGTTGGGAAAGGCTGATTCTGATCAAGTTAAGGCCCAAACATCACCCAAGCCTTGGGTTTCATCCAAATGTGACCTCGTGGTAAGACTTTTTGAAAATTGAGAGGAGGAATGTACCTGTTTCCCTGCATTTCCTCCATTCATATGGATGTCCTTGCAGGTAGGAGGATCAGGTTTTTCCAGAACAGAAGAATTTTTTCCATTTCTACATATTACTCATGATTCCTCTGGTTTCATACTTCATTGGCCTTCAGTTAATATCTTGTTAAATAATAATAAAAGCTAACATTTATAAAGCTCTTACGCTGTGTTGAGCACCATAATCATTGCTTTACACGGTGCATCTCCTTCAACCGTGACATTGACACCATGAGGTAGGTTTCATTATTCCCGTCTTACAGAAGGAAGGGCGGAAGTTCAGAGGGGTTTAGTCACTTGCTCAAAGTCACCAGCTAGTGAGTGGTAGAGCATGATTTTAACCCAGGCTTAGAACCACCCTATTATACTATGTCTGTAAATCATGATTGAATATCCTAACCTTTGTGCCTAAATCTAGACCAAAAAAGAGGAGGGAATGATTGAGACTCAGGGAAAAAAATAACTTGCCAGGTGATTCTTGAGTGTTTTTGGTTTGGTTTTTGGAGACGAAGTCTCACTCTGTCACCCAGGCTGGAGTGCAATGGTGCGATCTCAGCTCACTGCAACCTCCACTTCCCAGGTTCAAGGGATTCTTGTGCCTCAACCTTCCAAGTAGCTGGGATTACAGGCATGTGCCACCAAGCCCAGCTAATTTTTTGTATTTTTAGTAGAATCAGGGTTTCACCATGTTGCCCAGGCTGGTCTCAAACTCCTGAGCTCAGGTAATCTGCCAGCCTCGGCTTCCCAAAGTGCTAGGATGACAGGTGTGAGCCACCATGCCCGGCAGATTCTTAAGTGTTTAAGCCTCAGAGGAAGTAATGCATGCTGCATAAAACAGTTGATTGGCTCTGAGTATAACCAACTCCTTAATGTCACAGAAACTTGGAATTGGGCATTGAAAATAACTTCAGATATTATTTAGTCCGACCCTTTATCCTTCCACGGAATAATGTATCCTCTGCTTACATACGTCCAGGGCTGGGAGGCTCACTACCTCAAGTACCTTGAGTGGCCGGATGGGGAGGTTATCCTTTCCTCACCTTTAAACCTAAGCAATAAATTGGTGCCTAAATCCTGTTGCTTCCTTAGAAATACACATCCATCCACATAAGTCAACACTGCTTGGTTTGTTCTCTGGAGAAAACGGAGGATACCAGAACTCATTGAGCTCAAGTTTCCATATTCTACACCCAGCTCCATAATCCCCAAATCTACAAAAGCAAAACAAGATGGCACTGTTTTGTGGTGCATTCTGGGAGGCAGAAAAAAGTTTTGAAAGTTTTTTTTTGTTTGTTTTAACACAGGGTTTTGCCATGTGGCCCAGGCTGGTCTCAACCTCCTGAGCTCAAAAAATCCACTCACTCAGCTTCCCAAAGTGCTGGAGTTACAGGTGTGAGCCACTGCACCCAACCTCACATATTCTAAGGAAATGCCCAGGTAACCTCTGAAGCTCTTTCTCTCCCTTGGTGTCCTCTCAATGGCACAGGGGTATCATTCTGTTTCTCTGAACACTCAGGGGTTCAGATAGGACCTCTCCCAAGGTTGTAGTCCTAACTTTTAGCCTACCTTACTTCCCTTCTCCTACCAATATCCAGCCACCTCCACCCCCTTAGTCCCCATATGCTTGGTCAGGTGAAACTGTTGTGGTGACAAGTATTGTCCATGAAACCAGAGGAACCTGTGTTTATGTCCCACATTGATTGTGTGGCCTTGGACAAGCATCTTAGCCATTCTGAACCTCAACTGTTCCATTCAAAGACAGGCTTAATAATACCTACCTCAGTCCAGGCACGGTGGCTCACTGTAATCCCAGTATTTTGGGAGGCCGAAGCAAAAGAATTGCTTGAGGCCAGGAGTTCAAGAGCAACCTGGACAACACAGCAAGACCCTATCTCTATTTTTGAAGAAAAAAAATAGTAATAATAATAGCGACCTCAGAGGGATACAGCATATATAGAGGAATTAGTATCTAGTCCCTAGCACTTTAAAAAAAAAAGGCTCAATAAATACTAGCTTCTTAATGTTGAATCACACAACTGTTTTTCTCCATGCTAAGGGAATTCTGTGGTGTGAACAGGTCCCAAGAGAACTGAATGCTCAGTTCAGCATGACTCAACTGAAAACAAATCTTCTCTTCCAGGCCTCCCTGCTTCACGCAGAGTGTTAGTATTCTTTTGAGTCCAATTCTTGGATCACTTCACCCAAGGACACACAGGCCATATGCAGTTGAGCCAATGCTCCAACTCAAGTATGTGCAATGCCCAGACCCCTGCCTTCTCACATGGGCACCTGGACATAATTCAGGACAGAAAAAGAGAGGTCTGCATCTCCAATCCACACAGCCACTGCCTCTGCAGAAATAAGTACAAAGTGGGTACTCACCTATTTCATTCTCCCCAGCCATTTGGAGGGGTGTCATTTTGCAAGATCCCCAAACTCTGAAGAATATAGCATTCCTACAAGCAAATGACTAAGGTGACTTTCAAACTGAACACTCAATACTGGGCCCTCTTTTCACCTGGCACAGGTGTGTCTTTTGCAAAGGAGTTAAGCTAGCTGTGCTACCTCCCCAGATGTCTTGAATTCTAGCTCAGGGCTCAAGCTGACAACCCTCACCCTTAGCAGGTTCTATGAACACGTGCCAGCTTTACCACCTGCTAGCTCTGAAATAATATCCATTTGTATACTGATCTATAATGTATCTCTCCCCACTTATGTGAGCCCCGTGCCAGGAGGGGATTTCTGTGTCTCCAGTGCTGTTTCCTGGTGCCTAGAACCATGCCTGGCGCTCAAGAGATGCTGAATATATATTTGAATGAATGGATGAATAGACTAGCAGGCCTCTGTTTAATCATCTGTAAAATTAAGATTGTACTTTCTGCTGTGTGGTTACTGTAAAGATTCAATAGGAATGCCTGTGTGTGCAAAAAGCATGTCGTACGAGGACTTACAGAGTGTAAATATTTGGTAAGTGAGTGCTATTTAAAACAGATACACAGCACACACAGAGACACACAGAGACAGGGACAGACAAAAAGACAGACACAGACAGACAAGTACAGAGAGATATCGGGGCAGATAGAGACAGAAAAATGCAGACATGCAGACAGACACACAGACAGACAGATGTACAGACATATGCATGGACCCACACTCACACAGACACGCAATGGGACACACAGAAAGCAACAGGAATTCATCCCAGCTATGGCTCTGTTCCCTCACACACAGCCAACCTCCGCCCCAGTGCACCCCAACACCTCCCCCCTCCCCCGCCACCCCCCCAACTCCTGTTTGGAAAGTTGGGCTGGCAAGGCAGTTGGATTGGCTGAGACCCCTTCAGCGGTTTTATTTTTCCGAGTGCGGTTTTGAAGCGACATCGCAAGTAATGAGAGGAAATAATTCTGCTCATTGTTGAACAACCAGAGTACACCGTGGCAATGTGTATAACAGATGTGTGTGTGGGGAGGGATTTCTATACATGATTGTGTGCCCCGGTCTGCCTCTGAAGATGGGGAATTCAAATTGGCATTTTGATTCTTTTTAAAGGAAAGTAAGCAGGAGGAGAGCTTGAGCCCACTCCAGAGGTGTATTAAGTTGGACGGCCCTGAACATGTGGAGCATTGCCTGCAACCTGGCTTCTCCGAGAGAAACCATGAATGCATTCTGATGTTAATTCCTCAAATGTATACGATATCACACAATCGAGTTTTATCTTTACTTCCCCCAAAAAGAATCTTTAAAAACTTTAGACAAAGCAAAAAGCACTTCATGGCCCCATCTAGACAAGCCTAGGACTCTGGCTACCTTTGACGTGTAGCTGTGATATCAGACCTGTCCCTTGCTTCCTATAAAATTCACTTCATGTCTCTTCTTAATGACAAAGCCCACTCTCAGGCACTCCTGCCTGTCCCGCGCACTAAATATCTCCCCTTCCTCTGAGTTCTCCCAGCACTTGCGTTTTAAGTCAAGGATGCATTATCTTATCTTCATTCTTACTAAAGAGGCTTCTGCCGGAGGTCAAGGTCGTGCTCTTTCTCTCTTGAGAAGCCAGCAGCTTCCTCTGGTCCACAGGCATCAGCTACACCCAAGATTACAACTGGCTGCATGTGATCTACAATTCAGCCCCCGGACTTCTTTTGTTTGGCTCACAGAGTGTTGGCGCACGTGATATTTTTTTTTTAATTTGATTTATTTGCCAACATTTAAAAATCAGAAGCTTTCACACTGAAAAAATTCCAATTTTCTAGCTTTTCTTGAAAACTTGAAAGTTGTAGCAACATTAAACCTACATTTCTACAAGGTCATAATCAGCTAGAGCTGAGTGGTGGGTGGTCCCTTGAGATGGGATCCTGCATTTTGCCACAGTCCCCACCACTCCCTATTGCCCCTTGCACTGTGTCAGTTGCTGTTTATCATTGAGCTTCAGACAGTAATAGGTTTTATACCCATGTCTCTTGGCCTATAATCCCAGCAACTTAGGAGGCCAAGGCAGGAAGATTGCTTGAGGCCAGGAGTTTGAGACCAGCCTGGACAACATAGCCAGACTTCATTTCCACAAAAAAGTAGATAAAATATGTATATTTCTTTTAGTTAAAGGCCAGTGAGTGCACTGTCTCATGCTTCTATCTTCGTATTTTGCGAGGCTAAGGTGGGGGGATTGCTTGAGGCCAGGAGTTCAAGATCAGCCTGGGCCACGCGTTTTTATTTTATCTATAAAAATAAATAAATTTAAAAAATTAGCCAGATGCAGTGGCACACACCTGTGGTCCCGTCTAGTCAGAAGGCTGAGGTGAGAGGATCACTTGAGCCTGGGAAATCAAGGCTGCAGTGAGCTATGATTGTGCCACTGCACTCCAGCCTGGATGACAGACTAAGACTGTCTTAAAAAAAAAAAAAGTATACCCACGTCTCTTTCAAAAGTGGAGAAACAAGCCAGGAGCGGTGGCTCATGCCTGTAATCCCAACACTTTGGGAGACCGAGGTGGGCAGATCACTTGAGGCCAGGGCTTCAAGACCAGCCTGGCCTACATGGTGAAAGCCCGTCTCTACTAAAAATACAAAAATTAGCCCAGCATGGTGGTGGGCACCTGTAATCCCAGCTACTAGAGAGGCTGAGGCAGGAGAATTACTTGAACCCAGGAGGTGGAGGTTGCAGTGAGCCAAGATCACACCATTGCACTCCATCCTGGGCAACAGAGCGAGACTCCATATCAAAAAATAATAAATGAATAAATAAACAAACAAAAGTGGCAAAACGAAGGATCATAATGATTTATTGGTTGGTGCAAAAAGTAATTCCAGGTTTTGACATTACTTTTTAAATGGCAAAAAAATGCAATTGTTTTTTGCACCAACCTAATAATAACAAAAATAAAAGCTGGCCTTACCTGGAGTATTAGGCCCTTACCTGGAGTATTAGGCCCTTACCTAAGTTCATTATGTGAACGCATTCATTTAATCCTCACAGTGAAGCTCTGAGGGCTGGTAATGGGTGCTGTCTTATCATCATTATTATCACTACAATCACTCTATTTTAGAGAATAAAAAACTAAGGTACAGAAGTTAAGATAGATGAGGAACGCCATGTTTTTCAATGAAAATGGGACATATTCTTTGTGGAAATGAAACCTGTCCTACATTCCATGTCAGCACCTTCTATTTGTCCCACAGATCTGCTCTCCACCCCTCCCCACTCTGCTTTCTGTCTGTGGAGATTAATCCTTATGGATCATCATGGGTCCCTTCTTTGGCTTCGATTTGGAGACATGGGGAGGAAACATGAGTGTAAGTGAGTGAGGTTGGGGTATACACTCCCCAGCTCCCTCCCAGTGAGGTCACTAAGTCTCTGCAGGTTGGCTGAGTCCTTCTACACAAGATCAGAGCTCCCATAGAGGATCTCTCCATAGAATCGCCCTCTTCAGTAAGGTCTCTTTCAGCCTAGGGGAGATAACGGCTCCCAGGTACGAGTAGCCTAGGCTTCTGCACTATTTCTTTCTTTCTTTCTTCTTCTTCTTCTTTTTTTTTTTTTTTTTTTTGAGATGGAGTCTCACTCTGTCACACAGACTGGAGTGCAGTGGCATGATCTCAGCTCACTGCAACCTCTGCCTCCTGGGCTCAGGCAATCCTCCTGCCTCAGCACCCCGAGTAGCCAGCACCACAGACACATGCCACCATGCCCAGCTAATTTTTTGTGATTTTAGTAGAGATGGGGTTTCACCATGTTGTCCAGGCTGGTCTCGAACTCCTGAGCTCAAGCAATGTACCAGCCTCAGCCTCCCAAAGTGCTGGGATTAAAGGCATGAGCCATCATGCCTGGCAATTCTGCACTATTTCTTGTTGGTTTCATTCTACCTCATTAGTTTCCCTACATCTTGCCTAGGCATTTGTAAATAATCTCTTGAGTAACTTCCCTTCAAATGGCCCAGTTGGAGGGTACCATCAGTTTCTGGCCAGGAGCCTGCCTAATACATCTCTGATCAATTTCATTCATTTGTGCTACCTGCCCAACCCTACAAGATATTAGTGTTTGCTACCCCTGAGCTAAACCTGAATTTTATAGAAGGCACAAGAGGAGTCCAGTAAGCTTACCTATAGCTTTCAAAATATTTTTCTTTCCACCAATGTACTGGTAAAACAATCTTTGACTCAGTAAGTAAGCAATTTCTAGAACCATTTCTTTGGGTTGAGAGACTCTATAAGGCAAACAAACAAACAAACAAACAAACAAAAAACACTGCCACTTTGGGAGGCCAGGGTGGAAGGATTACTTAAAGCCAAGAGTTCAAGATGAGCCTGGGCAGGACAGCAATACCCCATATCTGAACAAATTGTTTTTAAAAAAACTAGCCAGGCATGGTTGCACACACCTGTAATCCCAGCTACTCTGAAGTTTGAGGCTACAGTCACTAATGATTGCCCCACTGCACTCCAGCCTACTTGGTGACAAAGTAAGACCCTGTCTCTAAAAAAACAAAAGAAAAGAGCACTGGAATAAGAGTGAGGAGTCCTAATTTATAGACAGAATGTCTTCTTCTAGAAATGTAGTTCATCTTCAGAAACAGAGAAGCCAGACAGCCAGCTAGGCCTACATCAAATGCAGTTGTGTGAGACTGTGGCCCCCTACAGGGTCCTAACAAGCCTGCCCAGGGGAAAAGGCTGCCTGCCCCATCCCTACATCCCCTCAAGCCTTGGATAAATCCCCCTTCCCCCAAATAATTACAGTTGTGCAGCTATAGCATGAATGTTTGTTTCTCAACAAAACTTAAACACTGTCTATGTGAGAAAGGAACACTTCTCTTAACAGAAAAGTCAATCAATGTTGTTAATAAACAATGTGCATGTTATCTGGGAACAATGGGCACTACAAGGCCCACCAGGTCACTTGGCCATCCTAGAGAAGCGTGTTTCTGGATAATCCCAGAGCCCTGGCCAGGCCTCTGCCACCGGTCTCTGAGAGTTAAATTAGTCTCATTATTAAGTAGTGGATGAGATCAGAATTGTGGAAGAGGCCCCTTATAGACTAAATCAGTCCTCAGCCAGAAGCAGAAGGAGCGAGGATGTGATGGCACACCCTCATTCTTTAGCACATGTCTGCTAAGGGCTTCCTCAGTGCCAAGCCCTGACCTGGGTCCTGGAGCTGCAAAGGTCAAGTGTGAGATGTTCTCCTGATTCCCTTGTGGTCCACATTCCAGGGGCACCCACACACTCGAAACCCTGCTTGAACTGGGTTTTCAAAGTGCCAGAGGGTCACAGACACAGTGGTTTATAGCAGGGATTTATTCCCCCCAGCTAGGGTGTGGAGATTGAGCAAACACTGGAGAAAGGACACCATAAGCAGTGGGAACGGTACGTGCAAATGCAGAGATGAAAATCCCATGTATCTGGAGAACTACAAGAAGATCCGTATTGCTGATGGTCAGGCATTCCAGAGACCACATCCATGCATCCACCCACATTAGAACATAAACTCCCTGGGGTTAAGGATCTTTTCTTTGGTTCATAACTATAGTGCCCAACACATAGTAGCTGCTCAATAAATATTTGTGCAATGAATATATCCAAACATCTACCAAGAATGTTCTAGAAGAAATATTCTGCCAGGAAATTAAACACCAAAAAGAACACAGACCCAGCTTTCTAGGTGCTCACAAACTAAAGTAGGTGGTTACAGGTAAGGAAATGGACAGCTGTCATACAATGTGACAAATACTAAGATTTGGGAGCAACTAAAGTGAACGTCTTGGTGAATCAAGTAAAAACCCTAGAGAAAGTGATGTTGGCCAGGCACAGTGGCTCACACCTGTAATTCCAACACTTTGGGAGGCCGAAGCGGGTAGATCACTTGAGGTCAGGAGTTGGAGACCAGCCTGGTCAACATGGAAAAACCCTGTCTCCAATAAAACACAAAAATTAGCTCTGTCGCCCAGGCTGGAGTGCAGTGATGCAATTTCAACTCACTGCAACCTCTGTCTCCCAGGTTCAAGCGATTCTCCTGTCTCAGCAGCCTCCCAAGTAGCTGGGATTATAGGTATGCACCACTATACACAGCTAACTTTGTATTTTTAGTAGAGACAGGATTTCACCATGTTGGCCAAGCTGGTCTCGAACTCCTGACCGCAAATGATTCACCTGCCTTGGCCTCCCAAAGTGCTGGGATTACAGGCATAAGCCACTATGCCTGGCCATTTTTTTTTTTTTTTTTTAGACAGAGTCGCTCTGTTGCCCAGGCAGTGGTGCAATAATGGCTCACTGCAACCTCGACCTCCTAGGATCAATCAATCCTCCCACTTCAGTTTCTGGAGTAGCTGGGACCACAGGTGCATGCCATCATGGCTGGCTAACTTTTTTTTATTTTTTTGTAGAGACGGGGTCTCACTATGTTGCCCAGGTTGGTCCTGAACTACTGGACTCAAGTGATCCTCCCACCTCGGCCTCCCAAAGTGTTAGGATTACAGGCATGAGCCACCAAGCCTGGCCACAAATGAGAAAGCCAGGCCTTCAGGTGCAAAGTGCTCCCTGTACAGGGTCATAAGGCTTAAATCACACAGATAACTGAGACTTGAACCCAGGACCATGAGAGCAATGGAGGCGTCTTGTAGCTAGAGAAGGCAGGTAAAGAAAGGAACAGAGGAGGCAGGTGAGTCACTTTATCTACATGCATGTCTTCCTGGCTCATGAATGCAAACCAAGGCCTGGGTAATTAAGGTGGAATGAAGGTGGGGAGGAAGGAACAATAGGACTCATTCTCCACCTACTTGGATATGGTGGTTACCATGGAGACCAATCAAGGTGATGGGACCAGAGATCAAAGACCTCGGGATTTTCTCCTCCACCCCAGTTGAAAGCTCCACTGTTGTAGCTATTGGAGAACCAGAGAACACAGTTTCTTGTCTCAGTTAAAGAAGAGACAGTCTCATAGCATCTGCTTCTGAAGCTGGGGGTAAGACGGGGTCAAATAGTTGTGCCCTTTAATGATTATGTTTTGTTATCTTTGATTTTTTTAAAACCATGCTTGTGAAAAATTCAAGCAATGGATACTAAACAAGTACGCACTAAAAAGAAAACTCTCTCTCCTAATTGGAGTCTGAGCATTGACACTTTCTAAAAAGACACATAATAAATGGAAAGCCGTGGCTGCCATTGTGAAGAAAAACTGGGAGGCTATGGACAGGAAAAGGGAGGAGTCTTCCCTGTATATCCTTCTGTGTTTTTGATTTATTTTTTAATTGAAAAAATATAAACTTCAGATTAAAATAATAAATATAATTTTAAAACTGAAAAAGTATAAGATTTAACCAACACTTAAACATTGGTTATATATCTTATAGACCTTTTCTCCTTGTATAGAAACATAGATATTTAATGTATATAATTATTAACTAAAGATGAAATTATTGGAGGAACTTGTACCAGTCTAGCTCATTCTTTTTAAAGGTTTCATGAGGCCGGGCACAATGGCTCATGTCTGTAATCCCAGCACTTTTGGAGGCTGAGGCAGGAGGATCGCTTGAGACCAGGAGTTTATGACCAGCCTGGGCAACATAAGGAGACCTTGTCTCTACAAAAATAAAAAAATTAGCCAGGCATAATGGTGCATGCCTGTGGTCTCACCTACTCAGGAGGTTGAGGCAAGAGGATCACTTGAGCCTGAGAGTTTGAGGGTGCAGTGAGCTGTGATCATGCCACTGCACTCCAGCCTGGGCAACAGAGCAAGACCCTGTCTCAAAAATGAAAAAAATGTTTGGGAACTTCTGTTAAAGCACGATCTAGTCAATCTGTCCATGGACAAGTAGGTCCCTACCTTTCTTTAAACAGAGAATCTAAAATTTTGCCCCTCCAGTTTTATGAGCTCACCTAAGTCATCTTGATCTAAAACAGAGCAGGGCAGCTCCTTGGGGACATCAACACGAGGCCAACTCAAAGCTTGAGCATTTTGACAACTGAGTCAGGTAGGCCCCACAACCTGGTGGACAGATGCAAGAGCTCTTGAATCAGACTCTTTAGCCCCAAATCTGGGCTCTGCCCTTTACCATCATGGGGACTTGGGGTAAACCCCGACATCCTCATCTCTTAAAAGGACACCAGGGTGTCTATACCAAAGGGTATCTTTTGAGAAGCAAATGAAAAAAATCTGTATGTAACACCCAGCCTACTGCCTGGTATAGAGTACATAAGCACCCAGAAAATGACTGATTTTAGTATCATTATCACCATCGTATTATTACTTCCTCCGGGATGACCATTAGCTAAGCCTCTTTTCATCCACCCCCTCACTCAGGACATGCTAATGGAGTGCCTAGTGTGTACCCATCTGGGGTCCACTCTGGAAAAAGATGAAAGCTCACATCAAAAGAGAACTGTAGGCCGGGCATGGTGACTCACGCCTGTAATCCCAGCACTTTGGGAGGCCGAGGCAGGTGGATCACCTGAGGTCAGGAGTTCAAGACCAGCCTGGCCAATGTGGCGAAACCCTGTCTCTACTGAAAATAAAAAAATTAGCCGGACGTGGTGGCGTGTGCCTGTAGTCCCATCTATTTGGGATGCTGAGGCAGGAGAATCGCTTGAACCCAGGAGGCGGAGGTTGCAGTAAGCCAAGATCGCACCATTGCACTCCAGCATGGGCGACAGAGTGAGACTCCATCTCAAAAAAAAAAAGGGGGGATCTGTAGCCAGCACTGGCTCCAGAGCCCAGAATTTCACTTTATGCTTCTGATCTGAGGTTGGCCTAAACCAGCCCTTCCAAAAAGAAGAGTGGGGTAGGAGGGAACTTACCTAGAGTTCAAAGTCCCTGATTACGGCTCCAACTACTGGGACAAAGTGTTTGTTTTCAGGACTCTGGAAGATGTGCCCAAAGGAGATGTTTCAAGAAAAATTTCAGGTAGGTCCAGGAAGGACTTCCAGAGGCATTTTACTCACACCTACTTCTAAGCCAGTGGACTCACATGGGAAAATCAGTGTGGATTCAGGCTTAAGTGAAATCATTACGGGCCAGTGCAGCAGCACACGCCAATAATCCCAGCACTTAAGGGGGCCAAGGCAGGAGGATGGCTTGATCCTAGGAGTTTGAGACTAGCCTCGACAGCATAGTGAGACCCCATCCATACAAAAAATTTTTAAATATTAGCTGGGCTTGGTGGTGCATGTCTGTAGTCCCAGCTACTCAGGAGGCTGAGGTGGGAGGATTGCTTGAGCCCAGGAAGTCAAGGCTGCAGTGAGGTGTGATCACGCCACTGCTCTCCAGCCTGAGCAACAGAAAGAGACCCTGTCTCAAAAAAAATAAATAAATAAATAAAAATAAAATAAATCATCCTAATAATAGTAATAATAATGATAACAATATTAGCTACAATTTATTAGGCGTTTGTTATGTGTTGGACTCTGTGCTAAGAGCTGTCCATGCATTATCTAATTTAATCTTTCAATAACCCAAGAGCTGTGAAGTGTTCAGATCTACAGCAGATGAGCTCAGAGAGGTTAAGTGGCTTGCCCAAGGTTACACAGTCGATAAACACCAAGACAGAATTCTGACTCTAAAGCTCATGCACTGAAGCCGTCTGCCACTCACAAGTCAAAGAGAAAAGACGCATCAAACTTTGGGAGTCTGGACTTCTCTGAGAGACTCAGAAAACTGTGGCTCCCTTTTTCATGCTCCCACAAAGGCCACCACAAAAAACACTTGCAAAGACCGTGGGAAACCAGAAAGCCAACAGCAAGCCTAGTGGTCAGCAGCCCCCTGGGTGTGCTCTGGGGCCTTGCACACGGGCGGGGCAGAGGGGCACAGAAACCTGAATCATTTCGCACATGGCGGCAGAAGACAATGGATGACATTGTAGGCCTCAGCAACTAAACCTGAGAACCCTGGGGACCTGGCCACATCTCTCTAATCGGATCCGAAAGCTGCATTCCTTCAGTTCCCCCCAGGTTGCTGCGAATTCCTCCAGCTTATTAAGCAGGTAAGACCCGTCTTTTTGATATAAAAACAATAGGCTATATGCTAGGCTGGGCTGAGACCTCACAGAAAATAAAACTTTTGCAGCACAAAGCCTATCACCTCAAACACACATCTGGAAAGCATTTTCTATTGATATAAAAATGGATGTACGTATAATACATATGTGTATTTATGAATCTGGTGTATTAATCACAAAGGCCGCAGTGAAAAAGGGCCATTCTTACCCTAAAGCCAGCCCCAACAATGAGCTTTTGAATGACTTTGGGGTTGCCTTATTTCAATCAAGGTCAAAGGCTGGGTGGGGGATGTTCATGTATACACTCTCTTTCCCATTCTTGGTTTCCAAAACCCCAACTAGGACAAATTCTGTCTAGTTTTTTGTAGTGTCATAGAGCACATACATCTGAAACTAGAATATGCTGGTGAGGTCTGCTGGTTTGAGGCTCTTCTAAAGCTCTTACTTGACAAAAAGCCAGGTTTCTTGGAGACTGAATTTTGCAAAAGAGCTAGTTTGTTTGCATGGCTTCATTAAGAAAAGAACTAGCATAAGAAGAGAGTGGCAGGAAAAAAGAGTTGCACTATGAGGTTGCAGGTAAAACAAAGTCATTGTGAGTCTTCTACAGCTCCCACTGATACAGGATAAAGGGTGATGACTGTTGTCTGAACTTTGCAGGGTCTGGTCTCCCAGCCTAGTACTCTGTATGAATAATATCATGTTCTAAAGGCCTGGCGCAGTGGCTCATGCCTGTAATCCCAGCACATTTGGAGGCCGAGGCAGGTGGATCGCTTGAGGTCAGGAGTTCGAGACCAGCCTGACCAACATGGTGAAACCCCATCTGTACTAAAAATATAAAAATTAGCCAGGTGTGGTGGCGCATGCCTGTAATGCTAGCCACTCGGGAGGCCGAGGCAGGTGAATCATTTCAACCCGGGAGGTGGAGGTTGCAGCAAGCCGAGATTGCGCCACTGCTCTCCAGCCTGGGCCACAGAGCGAGACTCCCTCTCAATAAATAAATAAATAAATAAATAAATAAATAAATAAATAAATGGCTAGGCAGTCATTCCTTAGAGTAATAAACCAATACACACTGAAAGGCTATGCAACATACCACACTTGTTAAGATATCAGGAACAATACAAACTCACAATCACAGAAAACAGTTGTGAATTCTCTAATCAATTAGAAGCTCACTGCTTTTCATATGAGCAATTCTGGTGTGTTCTATAGTGAAGACCAGCAAGAGGCTATTTACCCAAGAAGAGTTGGTTATTATGTCAGTCAGGACGGGCTGGGTTATGATGTAGTAACAAACAATCCCAAACCAACTGTGAATTGAAGCAATAAAGGTTTATTTCTTGCTTTCTCTGCTTTTTTTTTTTTTGATTCAGCTGGGAACTCTCCTTGGCCTAGTCCATGTCTAGGGACCCAGGCTGAGATGGAGTAAGAAATCACCATGGAAACACTGTATCTAGCTACAGCAAAAGAGAATAGTGAGTGTCACCATACATACCAGCTCCTAAAGCTTCCATCCAGAAGTGACACATCTTACACCCACTCACCTTTCAATGCTCAATGCAAATCACTTGGTCACTTTGAGGAACTGTGAATGCAATCCCACCAGGTGCCCAGGAGGAGGAAAAATGAGAAGTATTTGGTGGACAATGCTAACAAAAATAAAAATAAAAATTTAAAGAAAAATACAATAATTTTTAAGAAGGTAAGTGGGTGATGTCATCATAAAAATAGGGCCTAACATTTACAGCATGTTTTACACTTTATAAAGCACTTTCATTGATATCATCACATTTTAAACCTTAAAACCATATTTCAACATGTTACTTTGTTTTTAATAAATATATTCACTCAAAGAATATATATTTGGGGCCGGGTGCAGTGGCTCACGCCTGTAATCCCAGCTCTTTGGGAGGCCGAGGCAGGTGGATGACCTGAGGTCAGGAGTTCGAGACCAGCCTGGCCAACATGGTGAAACCCCATCTCTGCTAAAAGTACAAAAATTAGCTGGGCATGGTGGTGGGCACCTGTAATCCCAGCTACTCAGGAGGCTAAGGCAGGAGAATCGCTTGAACTCAGGAGGTGGAGGTTGCACTAAGCCAAGACTATAACTGGGATGATATTTTAGACTCTAAGTTACAGACTGTGGGAAACCAGAAAGTCTAAAATATCATTACAATTATATTCTATATTTATTATTATTTTTAATATAATCGCAGCTTGCATGTTTAAATGAAATTGGTTTATGAAATGAACCATGAACCATGAAATGCAGCATTATTATGAGAAATATTAATGATGCCCATGAAATATTATTATTCATATGTATTCTATATTTATTATTGTTTCTTATTCAGACTCTAAGTTACTCCCCTCCATGAGTCCTGCCTCCTGGTGTTCTCAGCTTTATGTAATTCCCTCTTTGAATATGGGTGGGACCTATGACTTTTTTCTAACCAATAAAATATAGCAACAGTGGTGGAATGTCATTTCTGGAGCTATGTTACCTTATGAAGACTCTGTCTTGCTAGCAGACTCACTCTAGAGACTTTTAAGAAACTGTCCACCTGTTTTTCAAACTGATTGCACCATTTTACATGCCCCCAGCAGTGTATGAGAGTTCCAGTTCCTCCACATCCTCATCAACACTTGGTGTGGTTAGTGTTTTTCACTCACTTGGTGTTTTTGTTTCTTTGTTTGTTTTTTTGAGATGGAGTCTTGCTCTGTCACCAGGGTGGTGCAATCTCGGCTCACTGCAACCTCCGCCACCCAGGTTCAAGTGATTCTCCTGCCTCAGCCTCCTGAGTAGCTGGGACTACAGGCACGCACCACCATGCCTAGCTCATTTTTTGTATTTTTAGTACAGACGGGGTTTCACCATGTTAGCCAGGATGGTCTCGAACTCTTGACCTCGTGATCTGCCTGCCTCGGCCTTCCAAAGTGCTGGGATAACAGATGTGAGCCACCACGGCTGGCCCACTTGATTTTAAAGAGTCCAGGTTCAGCTGGTGGAGGTGAGAGGTACTAGAACTGCCATCCCAGAGCCCCAGAGTAACAGTGAGCAGGAGGGCTAAGGCTTTTTGAATTTAGGGATACTGAACTTGGAGTAATAGGGCAACATTAGCTGCTGTAACAAATTCACTAAAAAATTTTAGTGGTTTCACACAATGGAAATGCATTGTTTATGCTCATCTAAAGGTCTAGGGTGGGTATTCCCCCACATGATGATTCAGAGACTCAGGATTGCTACATACCGTGGGTCTGCCATCCCTTAGGAACTCACAGTCTTCTGCAGCCATCAGCTCTACAGGGGAAAAGAAGACAAAGAAGCCCTATTGCTTTTTGAAGTCACCAACTCAGGAATGGCTCACTCTGCTCATATTTTATGTGTAAGATCCAGTCACATGGCCCTAGCTGGTTGCAGAGGAAGCCCAGAACTATGGTCCTTACCTACACCATGACCTCCAAGTGACAACTCCTCACTCCGGAAATGCTGAGAGGTCACAAATGTTTGTTGGGTATCTCGCCATCTCTGCCATGCCCAGGCTTATCTAACACAGCAAGCCCAGATGCTGACCCCAGCCCCAGAAGGACTGAGGAAGAACCACTGTTCTTGACTTCCTGATCCCCCATGGAGACCCCAGAAGGGGAGGTCCAGATCCAGATTCGGCTGAATGCTGCAAATTGCCAGCATAGCTTTCCCATTACTACATTCTAAGGTCTGCCCAGCCACTTCCTGCCAGCTCTCCCCACGACCTCTTGGTTCTCCCAAACAACTCTAGGGGCTTAACCACAACAATTTTACTACTCTTGACAGAACCAGCTTTTGGAGCCAAAACAACATGTGAGCATTTTCTATTCACAGGAAAGTGGGTGGGTTTCAGCAAGCCCCCATGAGGCTCCCACTGAATTCATGTTTTGGTAAGAGCACCTGGGGGAAATTCTTCCAGAGGCAGAGATTTGCAGATCCTCCGAACATGTGAAGTTGACTAACAAAAAAATAATAATAATAGCAGCTACCATTAACTTGGTACTTCCTGTGGTGCTTTACTGTGCTCAGCATTCAACGTGCATCTTTGATATTTCTCAT
Source organism: Homo sapiens (assembly GCF_000001405.40). NCBI lineage: Eukaryota > Metazoa > Chordata > Mammalia > Primates > Hominidae > Homo > Homo sapiens. The sequence goes on along the minus strand of NC_000012.12, from coordinate 114,834,437 downwards.
AATAATGCTGCATTTCATGGTTCATTTCATAAACCAGTTTCACAGATAGGAAAAACTGACACAGCCCAGTAAACTGACTTTTCCCAATGTCACTGGGCCATTAGCAGAGCCAGAATTTTACCCAGGGCCATACTATTTCAAAGGCACATCTTTTTCCTCTATACAATGGCTCTTTCCCTAAGTAGCCAGGCATCATAAGAATTTTCTCAGCCTGCTCTGAGAACATCAGCAAACTTGCCAGGACCATTGGGAATCTGTAATGACCTTCTTCCTCAATCTCTTTGGTTGGTGTTCCACCTGGAAGGTGAAGGGTCAAAGTGAGAGTGGCCATTTAAACTGTTGAAATGGGAGTGGAGTAAATGGTGATAGGAATGAACTGAAACTATCTTGGTTGGTAACTCAAAGGGGCTTAGAGCATAAAGAATGCCCTTTTGGATCCTGAAAGAGCCACTTATGGTGGTGGGTGCCTGCAATCCCAGCTACTTGGGAGGCTGACAGGAGAATCACTTAACCCAGGAGGTGGAGGTTGCAGTGAGCAGAGATTGTGCCACTGTACTCCAGCCTGGGTGACAGAATGAGACTCCATCTCAAAGAATAAAAAAAGAAAGAAAAAGGCTAGGATAAATTTGAAGATTCCTTCCTTCTCTCTAGCATCATATTCTCAGAAATTCTTCCTGTGTTGCTCCATTCCAGTTCTTATAAGTGATTGTTGCATGTGGTTTTGTCTAGTTTTATCTGTTTTTGGTGGAAGAGTTATTTTAATACAAGCTACACTGGAACTGACTTTTGAATTGAAACCTCTTTCCATGCTTGGTTCAAACCAATCCCTATACGTAATGGTTATGAGCCCAGAGTTGGAGCCAGGGTCCTGAATTCCCACCTCTGACACTTTCTGGCTCTTAATCTCTGACTATTTGCTTAACATCTCTGTGCCTCCATTTCTATATAAGTTTTTTTACGGTTATTATTTATTTAATAAATGGAGAAACAAAGACCCAACATGACACCTGGCAATTTGGTGGCAGAACCTAAATCTCAGGTGTCCTAACTTCCAGTCCAAAGCATAGAGAAAAATAGCAGCATGGAGATAATAGCTGTAAGAATGTTAATTCTCTAGAGCATGCATCAATATTATTAATATAAAGTAAGGCCGAGTACAGTGGCTCACACCTATAATCCCAGCACTTTGGGAGGCCGAGGCGTGATCGGATCACTTGAGGTCAGGAGTTCAAGATCAGCCTGGCCAATAATGCTGAAACCCTGTCTCTACTAAAAATACAAAAAAATTAGCCGGGCGTGGTGGCCCGTGCCTGTAGTCCCAGCTACTTGGGAGGCTGAGGCATGAGAATTGCTTGAACTCGGGAGGCAAAGGTGGCATTGAGCTGAGATCACGCCACTGCACTCCAGCCTGCGTAACAAAGTAAGACTCCATCTCAAAAAAAAAAAAAAAAAAAAAAAAAAGAGTTCGCAGCTGCAGTGAGCTATTATTGCAACACTGTATTACAAACTAGGCAACAGAGCAAGACCTTGTCTTTAAAAAAGCAAAACACAAACAAAAAACGTGGCAGGACATGGTGGCTCACACCTGTCATCCCAACACTTTGAGAGGCCAAGGTGGGAGGATTGCTTAAGGCTAGGGGCTTGAAATCAGCTTGGGAAACATAGTGAGACGTCATCTCTACAAAAAATTAAAAAAAAAAATTTAGCCGGGCATGGTGGCATACACCTGTAGTCCCAGCTACAAGGGAGGCTGATGCACAAGGATCACTTGAGCATGGGAAGTTGAGGCTGCAGTGAGCCGTGATTGTGCCGCTGCACTTCAGCCTGAGCAAGAGAATGAGACTCTGTCTCAAAAAAAAAAACAAAAAAAAAAAGAGAAAAAGATAGCCAGGCTGGGTAGCACATGCCTGTAGCCCTAGCTACACGGGAGGATCACTAGAGCCCAAGAGTTCAAGGCTGCTGTGAGCTATGATCATGCCCGCTGCACTCCAGTCTGGGTGCCAGAGTGAGACCATGTCTCTAAAATAAATAAATAAATAATTAGCCCCCTTGGTAGCCTTCCTCTCAGAGTAGAACAGTTGATAGAATGGGAAATCAGATAGGTGAGTTTTGCTGGGGAAGAGATGAAGGAAATGTCTGGAGCATTAGGCTGAGGACCATGGATGGACCCTGATTAGCCAAGGGTACCAAAAACCGCTCCTTCAATGATTTCCTAATTTGTCATGACTTGCATTGGGAAGGAGCTCATTTCCTTCAAGTTCATCCTGAAGCCTTGGCTTAGCCCTGAAACACTTGCAGAAAGATGGATGGGGGTGGGTTCCTATTTCTTTGCAGCATCCCAAGTGCTCAGCTCCCAAACTTCTCTGAAAATGAGAGAAAGCCATTCTCCAAGACTGTCTACACTATTTTCCACCCCGCTCCACTCCTCTGCCCACCAACAGGGAAGTAGGAGGCCTCCCACCAGAACCTCAGCGGGTGCCAATACAATTCTGGCACCACTCACAACTCGCTCCATGGTCCTGGGAAAATGACGGAACTCCTCGGCACATTCATTTCCCTATTGCCAGAACGAAAACAATAAAATCCACCTCTTAGCGAGCCAGGGGAATTAATTACTTGAGCATTTATTAAGTGCTTTGAAGATGAATGTGTGAAGTGTTCACTTTTTCCTTCCTTACCCTCAGGTTTTCCTAAGCAGGACAAGAAGTCAATAAGAGCCAAGTCCACAGCTTGCATGGAAAGTTCAGGATGTTTCCTAAGGGCACGAGTAGCCTATTAACTCTTACTTGAGTTTCAGCCTGCGCAGTACTAGGGATAAAATGAGTTGACAGAAACTCTCACAGAAAGGCTTTGGCTCAATTCTCCTCCAATAGCAAGTCAGAAACTTTCACAGAGCTGTTTGAGTCTCTTCATTTATGTACTCAACCAGGATTCATTAACACTTTCTGTGCATCAGGGATTCTTTTGGGTGCTGAGAATACAGGAATATACAAAACAGCAAAAAATTATTTCATTCTAGAATTTATATTCCACTGGGAATAGTTTAGGAGAGGACACACAATAAACAAGAAAGACAAGTTTTATACACACACACAGAGAATGTGAGATGGTAAAACATGATAAACAGAAAAATAAGTCAGGAAACGCAGATAAACAACAACATGAGAGTGGTGGAGAGGAGTTGGTGTTTGATGAAGGGTAGACAGGCAAGATAGCATTTGAGTAAAAACTTGGGGAAAGCAAAGGGGGAGCTATGAGGATAAATAAGGGACGAGTGTTCCAGGAAGAGGAAACGTCACGAATAAAGGTACGAGGCAGGAGCTTATCTAGAAGGTTACGTGAAGGACAGTATAGCTGGAGTGGAAGGAATTCAGAGGGGAATAAGGAAGAGATGAAGGGAGATGGGTCATGGTGTATGGAGGGGAACAAGTCATGGAAAGACTGAAGGGCACTAATATTAATAGTTTGGCTTTTATTTGAGTGTAGTATAACTGGAGGTGGATGGATATTTGGATTGATGGTGGTTGGATGATGGATGGATGGATGGATGGATGGATGGATGGATGGATGTTTTAATGGATAAATGAATATTTGGATGGTAGATGTATGTTTGGATAGATAGATGTTTGGATGGATGGATGAATGTTTGGATGGATGGATGGATGGATGGATGGATGGATATATACACGTATTTGTCAGAGCATTCAGGATTTTTGGTTGTAACCAAATGACTCTAACTGAGGCAGAAAATAAATGTTCTGGAAACTGGGTAGCTCATAGAATGTACAAGAAGTATTTGAGGCCAGGTGTGGTGGCCTATGCCTGTAATACCAGCACACTTTGGGAAGCCGAAGCAGGACGATTGCTTCAGCTCAGGAGTTTGAGACCAGCGTAGGCAACATAGCAAGACACCATCTCTACGAAAAAATCAGAAAATTAGCCAACCATGGTGGTGTGTGCCTGTGGTCCCAGCTACTTAGGAGGCTGAGATGGGAGGATCACTTGAGTCTGGGAGGTCAGGCTGAAGTGAGCCATGATCGTGCCACTGCACTTCCACCTGGGTGACAGACCAAGACCCTGAACAAAAAAAAAAAAAAAAAGGAAGAGAGAGAGAGAGAGAGGGGACAGAGGGAAGGAAGGAAGAAAGGAAGGAAGGAAGGAAGGAAGGGAGGGAGGGAGGGAGGGAGGGAAAAGAAAAGAAAAAAAGAAAAGAAAGAGAAAGAGAAGAAAGAGAAAGAAAGAAAGGAAGAAAGAGAGAAAGAAAAAGAAAGAAAGAGAAAGAAAGAAAGAGAGAGAAAGAAAGATTTGAGTGGAAAGTGATATGATTTCACTGACGCGGTTGTGCTGGATGTCTTCCGTTTGGCTCTCTAGATCCACTCTCCACCCTTCTTCATCCTATTCTGTGCTCAGGAGGCTGCCCTGTATGGCCTAATTCAATGTTTTCTCTTACTCTGGCATGAGATCAGAGAAAGGGGTGACTGTGTTGACAAGGGATCTATGCCCCGAGTCCACTCCCTGCCAGGTCATCACAGGTTGACTGTGTCTGTACCAAAGGCCACAGCTGGTCAGGAGACCTCTCCAAACCCTGTCTCCAGATTCTAAAAACTGCTCCCTGCTCTCACCTCTTCAGGCCTAGGGCTGGTAATGTTTCCAGTCCCAGAGTATTGTGCTATTCCTGTTCCTAAACACAGCCCACACTTTTGTTAATAGTTCCTTTGTGAAACTCTGCAAATTCCCAGCTTTGAATATGGTGTTTGTTTCTTGTTATTTCCTGTCCCTGTTGATGTATTCATCTTTTCATGCCCAGTGTCTAGCTGAGTACCTGTTATGTTAGAGAAATGGATGGGCAAATGATGGATGAATGGATATTTGGGTAGATAGATGGATGTTTAGATGGATAACTGTTTTCAATTGGTGGATGAATGGATGGATGGATGGATGGATGGATGGATGGATGGATGGACAAATGGATAGACAAATGGATAGACAAATGGATGGATGGATGGATGGATGGATGGATAGATGGATGAATAGATGTTTTCAATGGATGGATGGATGGATGGATGGATGGATGGATGGACAGATGTTTTCAATGGATGGATGGATGGATGGATGGATGGATGGACAGATGTTTTCAATGGATGGATGGATGGATAGATGGATAGACAGATGAATGAATGGATGGGTTTTACAGAGCAGTCCAGATTCTTAGTTGCAACCAGCTAACTCTAATTGAGGTAGAAAATAAGTGTTTGGGCTATTGGATGGCTCATAGAATTTGCAAGGATAGTGGGAGAGAAAGAAGGGAGGCAAGGTGGCAAGAACACCAGACAATGTATCAACATAGTAATAGCCATGTTAGAATGCCTCAGGTCTCGCCATCACCACCACTGCCCACTGACCCTGGGATAAATGCTAAGTGGTTTCAATGTCACTCCAAGGTTGTTATTTCTGTCCTGGGCAGGAATATCTAATCAGCTGAGCAGTAATCACTTGACACACCCTAGCTTCTAGGGAATGGAGAGAGAAAATATGCACACTACCCACCCTCACCTCACCCCCAGCTTATGTAGAGATTAGAAGCCTTGTCTCTCCCGTTTTCTAATTTCCCCTAAATAAGAAAGATATTTAGATGTTAAGTAGCTACACACACATACACACACATATACACAACACAGTGAAAAAATAACTTGTCCAGAATGTAGCCCACCAAAAGTATGCTTAATAAATGGTTTTGTGAGCAAATAGCCCTTCAAAGAAAATACAGGATTATAAAGCTGGTCTCTTCCTCAGCAAGCTTTATTACTGGTACGTGAGAAAGAGCAAAAGCACAAGAAATAAACATTAGAGATCTAAATAAACCTGGTAAGTCAGAGTTCCCAAAATTGGTCACCCACTAAACTAGTGTCTTATGATACTCTATAAGGGGAAAATGCTCCATAATCAATACTGCATTCTTGACTGCCCCCACTTAGAGATTCACATTAAACATTTAACACAGCTTCTTGACTACAAGACTTCTTAGAGCATTTAATACACAATCATCTTTGTCAATCTGCAGTATGGGGATAGAGGATGCACATTTCCCCAATATATTTGACCAACAATCCTCCTCTGCTTTTAAATAGAGGATTTATCCGAATGAGCATTCCATAGAATACACTTTAGAAAATTAATGATAGTCCAACTCCCTTTTACAGAAGAAGAAACTGAGACCCAGAGAGGGAACATGAACCTGCCTAAGCTCACACATCAAGCAGAGACAACAATGAAATTCAAGAATCCTGTCTCCTTCCAACATGCTGCGTGGTAAGGAGGGCGTTGTTAAATGACCTCGAAACTCAGCTCCAAGAAATGAAAGGTAAAGGTCTCTTTAATTTGTTATGAGGTGTTTATGGATTAAATGCCTAACAAGTGCACACACAAAAAATATTTTTTTGAAAGGCAATGAAATTTGGAAAAGTTACCATCAATGATTTAAAAATCCAATGTAGAAGGAAGAGAAGTGGTTGTCAGCAAGTGGCTGTTGAGAGTAGACGAGTGTGGATCTCCACTTGGATGGAATGATCAAAGTTTCATAAAGATTGCAAATAACCAGTTAGTTTTTTAATAGGTCCACCTCTATCCTCTGCCCACCAACACTCTTCCCAACATCACTGCCTTTAGCTCAGAGCCTCAACATCTCTCCCCAGCGCACCTACCACAGGCCCCAACCATCAACATCATCCCTGCCCAAGGGGCCTTGCTAAAGTTCAAATCTGACTGTGTCATTCCACGTTCCCTTCGGAGCAAAGTCCAATTCCTTACTGAAGAATATGAACCCAGCAGAGCTTTCAAGCCGTATCTCCTATCATATGTTCCCTCCTGCCCAACACTGGGACCGTCTCACTGTCTTGCAAACGTTATCCACTTTTGTATTTCTCTCCATGTCTTTGATTATGCTTTACGCTCTGCCCAAAATGCACACTCCTATCTTCACTTGGAGAACTCCTCATCCTTCAAAGCCCATCTTCCATGCTCTCTCCTCCTTTAAGTGTCTCCACTGGCCCATAGTAGAGTCTACTTTACATTTATTCATTCAAAAATCAAGGGATAGACCGGGCACGGTGGCTCATGCCTGTAATCCCAGCACTTTGGGAGGCCGAGATGGGTGGATCGCTTGAGCTCAGGAGTCAAGACCAGCCTGGCCAACATGCTGAAACCCCATCTCTACTAAAAATACCAAAATTAGCAGCAGCATGGTGACACGTGCTTGTAGTCCCAGCTACTAGGGAGGCTGAGGCAGGAGAATCACTTGAACCCAGGAGGTGGAGGTTGCAGTGAGCCAAGATTGTGCTACTGCACTCCAACCTGGGTGAGAGAGCGAGACTCCATCTCAAAACAAACAAACAAACAAACAATAATTCAGGGGTTTATTAAATACCTGCTCTGTGCTGGTCACTGTTCCAGGGGCTAGGGAAACCGAAGTGAATAGGAAAAACAAGGTCCCTGATGGCATAGAATTTAAAATCAAAATCCCAGCTACTCAGGAGGCTGAGGCAGGAGGATGGCTTGAGGCCAGGAGTTTGACACTAGACTGGGCCACATAGCAAGACCCTATCTCTTTAATAAATAAATTTTAAAAAAGAATTTAAAATCTATTGGAAGGAATAAAACCAATCAACGGGTAAAAAATTAAATAAGCTATTTCAATCTCAAAAAAAAAAATCATCAGTCATGCTGTATGTGTAAAAGCACAGTCCATCTCCCTGAACGTGCCACTTCTCAACCTCCCAGGAGGGCATCTACAGGATAGAGTAGCAGGCTGGGCATCAGAAGAAGCTGATCTGGGAGCCAGAGCTTGTGGCAGAGTCCGGGGCAAGTCCCTTAGCTCCTTTGGTGCCACAGTTCCTCCTCTAGGGCAGAAATTATCAAGGTTAATAATGTGGCCAATAAACTGCAGGCTGGGGTGGAGCAGGGGCCAGAGATCATGATTATTAAGCTCTGCCTGATGCCGGGATGAAAGGTCGTCTATTAAAGGAGTAGTGCTATTAGGGCAGAGGTGGGGCAGGTCCTGGCTTTAGCCAGTGGCTACAGAAGGCCTGGGGATCCTCTACATGAAAGTGCCGCTGCAAAGGCAAGCTGTGATTGATCAGAACTGTCATTAGCCCTCACATTACCAGCTTGCCAGGCCTTCACCCGGAGGACAGCTTGTAAAATCACCCTCCAATGCACCCTGAAGAAAATCTCATGGTCCCAACCCCAAATAGCCCCAGCCTTTGTCCACCATTCAGATCCCTACACACCAGGAGGAGCTAGGTACCTCCTGTGTGCCAAGACCATCCCACAAATGGTATCTAATAGGTTGTTGTAGCAACAACCTATTGGATACCAATGCTGTTGCCCCAATTTACAGGTCAGGAAACTGAAGGCCAGAAGGATGAGGTGACAGCTGGAGTGTGACAGAGCCACAATTCAATCCCAGACTTTCTGATGTCAAATCCAGAGCCCCTCCTACCATGCTCTGCTTGTTCCAGGCCTTTCCTAACACACTGTCCCCGACCAGGGAAGATTCTTTGTGTGTGTGTGTGTGTGTGTGTGTGTGTGCGCGCGTGCGCGTGCATGTGTTTGTTCGGAGACAGAGTCTCGCTCTGTCACCCAGGCTGAAGTGCAGTGGCATGATCTCAGCGCACTGTAGCCTCTGCCTCCTGGGTTCAAGTGATTCTCCCGCCTCAGCCTCCTGTGTAGCTGAGATTACAGGCGCCCCCCACCATGCCTGGCTAATTTTTGTATTTTTCATAGAGATGGGGTTTCGGCATGTTGGACAGGCTGGTCTCGAACTCCTGACCTCAAGTGATCCACCCACCTCAGCCTCCCAAAGTGCTGGGATTACAGGCGTGAGCCACCGCGCCTGGCCTGTTTTTGTTTTTTGTTTGTTTGTTTTTGTTTTTGAGACAGGGTCTCACTCTGTTGCCCAGGCTGGAGTGCAGTAGCACAATCACAGCTCACTGCATCCTTGAACTCCTGGACTCAAGCCATCCTCCCACCTCAGCCTCCCGAGTAGCTGCGACTACAGGCAGGCACTACCACCCCTGGCTAGTTTTTAATTTTTTTGTAGAGACTGGCCCCACTATGTTGTTGAGGCTGGCCTCAAACTCTCAGGCTCCAGCAATCCTCCTGCCTCAGCCTCCCAAAGTGCTGAGATTACAGGTATGAGCCACCACACCCGGCCCCAGGGAAGGTTCTAGGGCAGCAGCTAAGGTATAGAAAGAAAAAAAAAAACCGCCACTGAGAAATCTTGGCTTCAGATTTTCATTTCTTCCCTCCTGCTTTCTCTAATAAATTTGTCTTCATTGCTCCAAGGACCTTCCAGATTCTTCCAGATTCTATAGAAACACTGTGGATCTTTCTCAAGAACACAGCATGCTAGGATTCCATCAGTCTTCAGAGGGACAGCATTTTAGAATGTTCAAAGGCTGAGAAGAAGGTGAGTCTTGGCAGAAATTGAGGAAACATTGGGAATTTTCTTCAAGCTGTGATTGTCCTCAACTACAAACCTGTTCATCATGTGTCCCAAGGCTTCCAAATCCATTAGGAGCATTCTACAATAAGAGTCATGCTACTTGGGATTTTATGTAGGATTTCCCAGATGTTGAGAACCCTACTTCAGTTTTCCCATTTGCAGAATGGAACAATTAACTTCCGTAAGATTAAGAATATGAGAAAATGCTTTTTGTTCTCTCTTTTAACCTCCCCTTTTTAATTGCATCAGGCTAGAAGTACTTAGCCAGGGCTTTCATGAATCGTTCATTCATTCATTCATTCATTCAGTCAGTCAGTCAACAAATATTTATTGAGCACCTATATGATGCCTAGTGCTGCTTTTGACCCTGAAGAGAAAGTCAACAGTAAGACATATACATAAACATATATCTATGTGCAGAGAATCCCTAGCTTCCTTTGGATTCTCCAAGAGTTCTGTGAACCAAAGTTAAAAAGCCACAGGGCTATGATATTACGAGGTGGAAAAAAATACTTCTGTTTCTTGGGGTATGTTTTCAGAGTAGCATTTTCAATTGATTTAATCCAGCTAATACATCCTGTGCTCCCATCCACTCACCTGTGTGTTAAGACATGGCCACATAAATTCCTTCTGACCCACAGGCATTATGGGTCCCTGTCCCAGCTTCCCCCTACCGCCACTTCTCCATCTATAAAACGGGATTAATGATAACCCCCAAGGATAGCATCACATTAATGAGCTGAAGAGAAAAAAGTGCTTTGAGCTCACTGAAAAAGGGTGGAGCCAAGAGCGGTGGAGGCTGAAATGTAGCTGCTGCCTGTGAGAATGTAAGTTTCTTTCCTGCTCATGGGAGCCCAAGAAGTATAAAAGGACAGTCTAGCCCCCTGTAGTGAAGCCCGAACAGGCGTTGGAAAGGGGCGAGTTTCCAGACTTATGGACCAAAGGGGGAGAGGAGGTCATGCACATGTGTTTACCTCCGGGTCACTGGTTCCAAGGCAGCCTGGCAGATCTCAACTGAAAGTTACTGCCATCTGCTCCGTGACCTCAATCCATTTGCTACCGTGCACACTGTAACTGGCAGCCCGAGTAGGCAGGCTGGCACCAACCGAGACTGAAAATGGGTCACTCCCTAGAGCCCTAAGGCCTGGCCTGGGCCCTGGAGTAGGGCAGGGGGTGAGCAGGGAGGGACCTAGAAACTCCATCTACAGTAATAGCTGTAAGAGTAACATGGGTGAAGTTCTCATCCTCTTGGAAGTTTCTGGACACTCCACCGTTCCTCAGCTAGGGATCCCAGCAAGCCACGCTACGTGCATTCCATGTAACACCCCCATTCACAGGAACCAGGTGTCAGACAAATCAGAAAACAGAGCATCATGGGGCATATGGTCAATTTCGCATGATAATGACAACTTTTTATTAAGAACCTACAGTGTGCCAAGCAAGAAGTTCAGCTCACGCCCAGTGTTACTTCATGCCATTATCAGCCCATACCCAGGAGGTATGCACTCTTCCCTTCAATTTACAGATGAGGAAACTGTTCAAGGTCACACAGCATGAGGTGGGGGGCCAGATTTGAACCCAAGACTGTGAGGAGTTACTGTTTAAGGAATATGGAGTTTCAGTTTAGAATGATTAAAAAAAATCCTAGAGATGGATGGTGGTGATGGTCAATGTGGATCTACTTAATGCCACTGAACAGTGGAGTCAAAAACGGTTAAAATGGGGCCAGGCTCATGCCTGTAATCCCAGCACTTTGGGAGGCGAGGCGGGCAGATCACCGAGGCGGGCTGAGCTCAGGAGTTCGAGACCAGCCTGGCCAACATGCTGAAACCCCATATCTACTAAGAATACAAAAAGTAGCCAGACATGGTGGTGGGTGCCTGTAGTCCCAGCTACCTGCGAAGCTGAGGCAGGAGAATCACTCGAACCTGGGAGGCAGAGGTTGCAGAAAGCCAAGATTGTGCCATTGCATTCCAGCCTGGGTAACAGAGCGAGACTCAGTCTCAAAAAAAGTGATATAAAATAAAATTAAAATAAAGGTTAAAATGAGCTTTGCTCTGAATCTAAAACTGCTCTAAAAAATAAAGTCAAGGCCAGATGCCATGGTTCACACCTGTAATCCCAGCACTTTGGGAGGCTGAGGCAGGAGGATAGCTTTAGGTGAGGAGTTCAAGACCAGCCTGGGCAAAGTAACGAGACCCTGTCACTACAAAAAATAAAAATAACAAAACTAGCCAGGCATGGTGGTGCACACCTGTAGTCCCACCTCCTGGGGAGACTAAGGCAGGAAGATCTCTTGAGTCCAGGAGTTTAAGGCTGCAGTGAGCTATGATTGTACCACTGCACTCCAGGCTCAACAGCAGAGCAAGACCTTGTCTCTAAAAATATATATGTTAAAAAAAAAAGTCAAATAAATGTTTTAATGGCATTAAAATGGTAGCTTTTGTTATGTATATTTTGCCACAATATAATTAATGAATTAAGATATCATTCTCTATCAAGAGGTCCCCGGTTCATATCCAAGTGCCCTCTCCTGACTCCAAAAAAAGATATCATTCTCAAACTCCTGACCGCAAGTGATCTTTCTGCCTCAACCCTACAAAGTGCTGGGATTACGGGCATGAGCCACATGATTCCTGGCCTAGGCAAGATATCATTCTTAAAGGAAAAACAAAGTATACATTACCTTGTGACCCAGTGAATCGGTCTAGCCAGAGACAATTCTACAGGTGTACACAGGGAGACATGACCCGGTGCGGTGGCTCACGTCTGTAATCCCAGCATTTTGGGAGGCACAGGCGGGTGGATCACGAGGTCAGGAGATCGAGACCATCCTGGCTAACACGGTGAAACCCCGTCTCTACTAAAAGTGCAAAAAATTAGCTGGGCTTGGTGGCACTTGCCTGTAGTCCCAGCTACTCGGGAGGCTGAGGTAGGAGAATCACTTGAACCTGGGAGGCGGAGGTTGCAGTGAGCCAAGATCACACCACTGCACTCCAGCCTGGGTGACAGAGCAAGACTTCGTCTCAAAAAAAAGAAAAAAAAAAGAAAGAAAGAAGCTTAAATGCAGGATTGTTTGTGATAATGAACCACTGAAAATAACATATATGCCTGCATGCCATGCATACGGCAATAGCTAGTAAATGCAGTGCATTCATTCAATAGAATTCATTCCACTCAATGGAATGCTATACAGCAGAGGAAACATGATGAATTTATTATTACTAACATGGAAAGGTCTCTTAGGAATGTTGTTAAGCAAATAATAAGAGTAACAATAGGTTACAGAAGTATGTACACGGTATGAATTTTTACAATTTATGTAAAAATACTAATACACCAAAAAAGTACCATTTATTTTCTCTGTGTGTGTGTGTGTGTAGTCAGTTCTGCTACAATGCTTGTTTTGAAAACATAAATTTTGGCTGGGCACGGTGGCTCATGCCTGTAATCTCAGCACTTTGGGAAGCCAAGGTAGGCAGATCACGTGAGGTTGGGAGTTTGAGACCAGCCTGGCTAACATGGTGAAATGCTGTCTCCACTAAAAATACAAAATTAGCTGGGTATGGTAGCGGGTACCTGTAATCCCAGCTACTTGAGAGGCTTAGGCAGGAGAATCACTTGAACCTGGGAGGCAGAGGTTGCAGTGAGCCGAGATCACACCATTGCACTCCAGCCTGGGTGACAGAGAGAGACTCCATCTCAAAAAAAAAAAAAAAAAAAAAAAGAGAAAGAAAAGAAAATATAAATTTCCTCCAATGTGATTGATATATTCAGGAACAATTTGAGCATAACCAAATTTTGTGTTTGCTATGCATGATTTTATTCAAAAGAAACACTGGATGAATGCAGAAAACTACACCCAGCTGAACCAAGCCACATAGGAATACACAAAATAAACACACTGCAAACACCCACCAGCTGCCTCAGCAATCTCTGCGTGCTACGAGCCACACCCATCCACACCTGGTGTCACAACTTTAAGATTTCAGACAACTTCCCTCCACCGCTTTCCAGGAACTCACAAGCTGAAACCCTTCTGACGCCTACTTGCACAAACAAACTTTAGGACTTTTCCAATGTACCATTTTTATTGCAGCATTTACGTATATTTTTAACCATTTAACATGTGTAAAATTGTGCTATTATTTTTATTAGGTTCCTATTTTTTTACGTGTCACTGACAAAGTTTTTGAGTGCTGTTCCCTTCCCTATAACTTTTTTTTTGAGACGGAGTCTCGCTCTGTTGCCCAGGCTGCAGTGCAGTGGCACGATCTCAGCTCACTGCAACCTCCACCTCCCAGGTTCAAGCAATTCTCCTGCCTCAGCCTCACAAGTAGCTGGGATTACAGGCATGCGCCACCATGCTTGGCTAATTTTTTTGTATTTTTAGTAGAGACAGGGTTTCACCATGTTGGCCAGGCTGGTCTTGAATTCCTGTGATCCAATCACGCCTCTGCCTCCCAAAGTGCTGAGATTACAGGCGTGAGCCACCTGGCCCGGCCACCCTATGACTTTTAATGTGTGATTTTGCATAGTGCTTTGATTTTAATTATTGTAGCAGAACTGACTGCATACTTGTTTTTTTCCTAAAAAGATACTAGATATATTCTTATACACACACAAATATGTTCATGGATGTGTGTGTATGGATGGATAGAGTCCACTTTAATAAGCTGATAGCAGTCAATCAATTTATCATTAGGGATGGAGAGACTGAAGGAGGTGGCTACAGAGATTTTAGTCTTCTTTACGTAGGTTTAATATTTTTTAAGGAGAGTTTTTAAGTCAGGTCTTAATTGTATAGCTAAATTTTTAATTGTTTTAGAAAAAAGAATGCACTATTTGTACACCCACCTTCTTAGCAACATCATTCCCAACAGCCAAGCAGTGGAAGCAACCCACGTGTCCATTGATGGATAATGGATAAAGAGATTATGATAGATCCATGTAATGGAATATTACTTGGCGTTAAAGAATAAGAAAATCCTGTCACATGCCACAACAAGGATGGACCTTGAGGACATTATGTTAAGAGAAAGAAGCCAGTTACAAAAAAACAAACACTTTTTCTTTCTTTTTTTTTTTTTTTTTGAGACAGAGTCTCACTCTGTCACCCAGGTGAAAGTGCAGTGGTGCCATCTCAGCTCACTGCAACCTCCACTTACTGGGTTCAAGGGATACTCGTGCCTCAGCCTCCCGAGTAGCTGGGATTACAAGTATGCACCACCAAGCCTGGCTAATTTTCGTATTTTTAGTAGAGACAAGGTTTCACCATGTTGGCCAGACTGGACTCAAACTCCTGGCTTCAAGTGATCTGACCGCCTCGGCCTCCGAAAGTGCTGGGATTACAGACGTGAGCCACTGCACCCGGCCTCATTTACTTTTTTAACAGCAGCTCTCCTAATGGGTGGGAAGTGGTATCTCCTGTTGCTTTCTTTCTTTCTTTTTTTTTTTTTTTTTGAGACTGAGTCTCACTCTGTCTCCCAGGCTGGAGTGCAGTGCCACGATCTCAACTGACTGCAACCTCTGCCTCCTGGGTTCAAGGGATTCTCGTGACTCAGCTTCTTGAGTAGCTGGGGTTACAGACGTGCGCCACCACACCCAGCTAATTTTTGTATTTTTAGTAGAGACGAGTTTTCACCATGTTGGCCAGGCTGGTCTCAAACTCCCGACCTCAGGTGATCTGCCTGCCTCAGCCTCCCAAAGTGCTGGGATTACAGGCGTGAGCCACCACACCTGGCCAACAAATACTTTTTCTGCAGGGTTGTTAAACTAAGGTAACAAAATAAAAAACAAACAAAACAAACCAAAAACCAAACACTGTGTGATTCTACTCTACATGGCAGCTAAAGTAGGTAAATTCATAGAAACAGAGACTAGAACAGTGGTTACCAGGAGTTTGGGGGAGGAAAGACCAGGGAGTTGGTATCTAATGCGTACAGAGTTCCTGAGTGCAGTGGCTCACTCCCGCAATCCCAGCACTTTGGGAGGCCAAAGCAGGAGGATCGATTTAAGACCAGTCTGGGCAACATGGCAAGAACTCATCTCTAAAAAAAAAAAAAAAAAAAAAAAAAAAAAATAGCCAGGTGTGGTGGTGTGCACCTCTAGTCCCAGCTATTGGGGAGGCTGAGGTGGGAGGATCTCCTGGGCCCCCAGGAGGCGAATGCTGTAGTGAACAGTGATCATGCCACTGCACTCTAGCCTGGGCGACATAGTGAGACTCTGTCTCTAAAATTAAAAAAAAAGAAAATAGTAATAATAATTGGCACAGAGTTTCCGTCTTGAAAGATTAAAAAATTCTAGAGATTTGTTGCAAAAAAAAAATGTGAATAAACAACGCTACTGAATTGTACATTTAGAAATGGTTAAGATGAAAAATTTTATGTCATGTGTTTTTTTAATCACAATTTTTTTTAAAGAGAGGATCCACAGTAACAAACCAATATACCACATTAATTGCACAAATAAAGCAACATACATGCAGGTTATGCAAAAAGATATGGAAGAACCCATTCTTTGCAGCTTCTAAAACAATAATTGGCGGCATATAAGTGAACAAATGCTAGCTGGTTAACGCTGGTTAGTGGGCCTATTGGGTTGGTTGGCTGATTGATTGGCGAGGGCACAATGCCCCACCCAGAGGCCTAACATGACAGCAGAGTCAGGAGGGTGCCATAAATAACACGTTAACGACATGACGTTCGCAGGGCCAGGAATTCAGGAGGCGCCGCGTTGCTTTGCCCCTTTTGAATTCGCCGTGAAACCAGATCCCGCCTGCCTTCTACCAAGAAGGTGCCCGGAAAATCTGCAACCCAGGCACACAAGCGGGAGAAGTTCCAGGCCCAAGGGCTACAGGTCAGCCAGGGTCTCCGGCCCCCCGTCCTGTTCACCACCCACAGATGCCCCTGCCAGCTGCTCCAGGAGAGAGGCCCAGAGCTGAAATGGCACGCCTGCGTGCGTGCCGCATAGCAGGAGGACAATCTTGGCAGGCCTCTATGGGAAGCTTGCAGAACACCTGCCTCTGGGGTGTGTGGGGGCTGACCCTCTGTAGGGCCCCCACTTTCCCAGGGCCCTCAGTGATCCTCAGACGTGCCCTGGGCCCCAGCCACCGCTTTCAGCAGCAATCAGAGTAATGGCCCGCATCTGCTCCACTGATGAGTGGGTGGGTCAGGGAGACACAGCATTTCCAAGCACTTGTGCTTCCAGGATCTCAGAGCAGCGTGGGGGAGGAAAGGCAGCTCCAGCCAGCTCTGTCCCTGCCAAGCCAACACGACTGGGAAGCGCCATCTCCTCATTCAGAATCACCTTTCCCACCTCTTGGCCCACTCAGACAACCTTCAAAAGCTAGTTAATGTCGCCTTCTCTAGAGAGCCTCCCATGAGCCCAGGTCTCCCACCTCTGTCCACCGCCACGGAGTTTAGAAGCCCTGATAGTTGGATCCTCCTTGCCCAGTTCACTTCCCGGCTTAGAGGAGGCTGCTTAAAGCAAACTAAACAACAAAGGAAGGAGGACAAGGCCTTCTTAGTGTGGAGCTGCTGAGCTGGAAGTCAAGAATCAAAGAATCTGGCCGGGTGTGGTGGCTCATGCCTGTAATCCCAACGCTTTGGGAGGCCAAGGCGGGCGGATCACTTGAGGTCAGCAGTTCAAGACCAACCTGACCAACATGACAAAACTCCGTCTCTACTAAAAATACAAAAATTAGCCGAGTGTAGTGGTGCACACCTGTAATCCCAGTTACTCTGGAGGCTGACGCAGGAGAATCGCTTGAACCTGGGAAGCGGAGGCTGCAGTCAGCCAAGATCACACCACTACATGCCCACCTGGGCAAAAGAGTGAGAATCTATCTCAAAAAAAAAAAAAAAGGGAAAAGAAAAAGTAAAATGGTTAATTTTATGTTAAGTGAATCTCGACTCAATAAAAGAAAAAAAATTTCCAGGATTTCAAATCCATCTCTAATTCCTCCTAGTTTTAGAGCCCCCATAGTAACATCATTTTCCTGTTTCATAGTTGGGGAAATCAAGACCCAGATAGGAAACAGAAGTGGCTTCTGCTTTTAGATTTGGAGCTATTGTCAGGGTCTCCTGACTCCCCATCCACGGGTCTTTCTGTCTCCATGATGCCTCTTGGGCCTCATCCTGCTCCCAGCCAGCTGTGTCCCCTGCCCAAGTTTTCTCTCTTGAACCTGTTTCCTTCTACATAAAATTGGTGACTTGAGCAAGACATAATACCTTTCATATGATTTATGAGAGCATCTGGATGGCCACTAATTTTTACTCTAATAGTTCATTTTACCATGTACTAGAAAGTAAATACAATTGGCGGGGCACAGTGGCTCACGCCTATAATCCCAGCACTTTGGGAGGCCAAGGCAGGCAGATCACCTGAGGTCAGGAGTTCAAGACCAGACTGGCCAACATGGTGAAATCCCATCTCAACTAAAAATACAAAAAAAATTAGCCGGGCTTGGTGGTGAGCACCTGTAATCCCAGCTACTTGGAAGGCTGAAGCAAGAGAATCACTTGAACCCAGGAGGTGGAGGTTGCAGTGAGCCGAGATCATGCTACTGCACTCCAGCCTGGATGACAAGAGTGAGAGTCTGTCCCAAGAAAAGAAGAAGAAGAAGGAGAAGGAGAAGAAAAATACAATTAGCAAATCAAACTTTCAGCAATAGAGACTGAAGTGTGTGTATCTAAATGTTTTCTTTTTAAAAAAATTTTTCATGGGCTGGGAGTGGTGGCTCACACCTATAATCCCAACACTTTGGGAGGCCAAGGTGGGTGGATCACTTAGGCCAGAAGTTCAAAACCAGCCTGGGCAACATGGGGAAAACCAGTGTCTACTAAAAAAATCCAAAAATTAGCCAGGCATGGTGGTGCACACCTGTAATCCCAGCTACTTGAAAGGCTGAGGCACAAGGATCACTTGAACCCAGGAGGTGGAGGATGCAGTGAGCTGAGATAGCGCCACAGCACTCCAACCTGGGCAACAGAGCAAGACTCTGTCTCAAAAAAATAATAATCATAAAAAATGAAAATGTCGTGAATGCTTGCTTTCCTCTAAAAAATAATTCTTGCATTTGCCACACAAAAGCTAGAGAGCTTGACTATGTCTGTATCCCTTATTGGTGGGAAAGACTCATGTGTGCAGGCCTTAAAATAGATGTTTATTTAATTTTTTAAGTGAGTTGGTTTAGAGGAAAATATGAAGAGAGTAATCCTACAGGTGGTGTAATCATGGAAAAACAGAGCTAAGAAGGAACGTGGCTGACTGAAGTACAGGACTTGCTGGGTGGCAGCTGTGACATTCTACGAGCCCATGACAAGCCTTGGGCTTCCCCTGCCCCCTAGCATGGCTATTTAGGGTTCCAACCTAAAACACACCAGCCGGGATTGGCAAGGAGACAGGTGGGGCCTTGCGGGGACCCTCACTCGGGGAAACATATGAAGCTTTGTCTCCCAGCAGCCCCATGCTCCATACAACTGTTGGTCAGGACCCTTGGGCTCCATCCCTGGTCTGCCCAGCCCCCTTTTTAGCTCCCTTCCCCTGGTTCCCCCCTTACCTCCCCAGATATCTACATGGTGACCTCATCCTCCAAGCCCAAGCCCTGGGCTAGCCGCCCTGCTGAGAAGGGACTTTGAGGGAAAGACGTAGGTATAACCTCTCCAAGGGAAAGTGTCTACACTGAAACCGTGCCCAAAAAAAGTATTTAAATTGAAGCCCAGGGGCATACCTTTCTGAGGGTGGAATTTGAGGCCATGTGACAGGTGGCAGGGGGAGACATTTTTGGACGGTGGGGGACTTGCCAACATCTTTTGAGCGCATCCCCTAGGCAGCTGCTGAGTCCAGCATTTGGACAGGCAGGCAGTTCTTTTTCTGGGCAACTTCATTTCAGGAGTGGACAAGTTTGGCCTAGCTGGGCTGGCTGGAGGCTCTCAAATCCTCCAAAAGTTACCTTGCTACACAGTTTCTCCCCGGCAAGCTCAACCAAGAATTTGGTGGAGCTGGAAGAATGTAGACGTTGGAGCTGGACAGATCTGAGTTTGAGTTCTGGCTCTGTCTCTGGCCAGCTGTATGGCTATGGGTGTGCCCCTGCACCTCTGGGCCTCAGGCTCCTGCCTCCAACAGGAGGTGAATAATTCCAAACTTTGAGAATGATCAAAATGGATGTCCACAGAAGGCGGCACCTTGTAGGTGTGGATAAGCAGTGTATTATTTTAAAGAAAAGGTGAATTTTCTTTTAGACATAGCCCATCAGACTATGGCTTGGGGACTAAAAAGAAATGTCACCCAACAAAATATAATCTGGGTATATGTACGTTTGGGGATGAGGGATGAAAACATGAGTAGATGAAGAAAGAGAAGAAAACATTCCTTTAGACCAGGCTCAGTGGCTCATGCCTATAATCCTAAAGCTTTGGGAGGCCGAGGCAGGAGGATCACTTGAGGCCAGGAGCTCGAGACCAGCCTGTGGGCAACATAGCGAGACCTCATCTCTTCCAAAAATTTTAAAATGAGCTGGGGGTGGTGGTAAGCTACAGTCCCAGCTACTCAGGAGGATGAGGTGGGAGGATGGCTTGAGCCTGGGAGTTCGAGGCTGCAGGGAGCTGTAATTGCATCACTGCACTCCAGCCTGGGGGCAACTGAGCATGACCTGAAAAAAAAAAGAAAGAAAGAAAAAGAAGGAAGGAAGGAAGGAAAGAAAGAAAAAAGAAAGAAGGGAGGGAGGGAGGGAAAGGAAGAAAGAAAGAAAAGGAAGGAAGGAAGGAAGGAAGGAAGGAAGGAAGGAAGGAAGGAAGAAAAAAAGAAAGAAAGAAAGAAAAAGAAAGAAAGAAAGAGAGAAAGAAAGGAAAGAAAAAAAGGAAGGAAGGAAGGAAGACAGACTTTCCTCCAAATACATTTTTATACCTCTGGTTATTGAACCCAAGCAACCTTATTACCTACTCCCAAGATGAAATTTACAAACATACATCATGCAGGAGAGTAGCCTAATGTCCGCATGGTCCCCCCCAGCCCCGACCCCACCCCCCGCCATGCACACCCCCCGTCCCCACCCCTGATCGCAAACAAGGGCATTGCTTTGTGTCTCCCCTTAAGGCAGTTTGTAAAGAGCCCGAGTAAGGAGCGAAAACAAGGGCAACCCTCAAACAAGTTGTTGGACTTCGCCAAGCAACTGGCCTCCCCATCGCTAATTAAGTTAATCCGGGTGGGTTTTTCTTTTCTTTTCTTGCCTGATTCCCTCCTGCAGAATCAGCAGGAACACCAAAGAGAAATGTTCATGGTAACCCGCCAAGCAGGCCTTCTCTTCAGCTGACAAGATGCATTAACGCCACAGAGAAGGGAAACTTCCCCCCTACACCACACGAGTAATAAAAAACCTGTTTTGTTTTCAGCTGACCACACAGCGCATGTGCCAGGGTAAATAGATCTCCTTTCTGCGGCTTTTCACCCCCTTCTCCTCCACCATCCCCACCCTCTTTCCATGTTTGGGGAGTTTTGATATGTCATAACATTGTGTCTGTTTATCTGAAATATTTCCACTCAAAATGCTTGTTTGCTCAACCAGACTGACATGTTGACATAGCTCCCGACAGCTGAGTGACTCCGATTGAAATAAAATGTAAAGTAAACACATTTGCATACAGTTTATATACAGCCTGGGTCTGAGGAAGCAGAGGAAGTAGGGAGATTGAAATCCGAATTTCTTATCTTCCATCACCCCGGCCTTCAGGGACCCTCCCTTCTTTTTTCCAGCTCTCTGTTCCCGAAATGCCTCCTGAGTCATAGGCTCAGCCTGCCTTTGGGGGTCCGAAAAACATCCTTTCTAGTTTCTGCCTGATCTAGTTTCTTCCCTTCCTCGACGGGTGCGTTTGAAGGCCTGAGTAATTTTCTTACGAGCTCTGAGAGCATGAGCCCAGGCGAATCCAAACAAACGAGCTGTGTGTGTTTGAGCAGATTCCATCCTTCTTTGAGCCTCTTTTTGTGAAATGAGGGAGTTGCACTCAAGTTGATCTCTTGGAGATTTCCAATGTTGATCTTCTGTGTAGCCTGTCTCAGATACTCAGGAACACCACACTTTTAATGGTTGAGCTGTCCTGTCCTGGCACACAGAGACTAACTTGCTTTTTTTTTTTTTTTTTCTTCTTTTTTTTTGAGATACGCTTTTACCCTGTCGCCCAGATTGGAGTGCAGTGGTGTGGTCCCAGCTCACTGCAGCCTCCAACTTTTGCCTTCAGGCCATCCTCCCACCTCAGCCTCCCAAGTATCTGAGGTTATAGCCACAAGTCAGCACACGCATTGAAACCAATTTTCTCTTTCTTTTGTTCTCTTCCTTTTTTCTTTCTTTCTTTCTTTCTCTTTCTTTCTCTTTCTTTCCCTCTTTCCCTCCTTCCTTCCCTCCCTTTTCTTTTCTTTTCTTTTTTTTTCTTTTTCTGACACAGAGTCTTGCTCTGTAGCCCAGGCTGGAATGCAGTGGTGTGATCTCAACTCACTTCAACCCCCACCTCCCGAGTTCAAACAATTCTCCTGCCTCAGCCTCCCAAGTAGCTGGGATTACAGGTGCCCACCACTATGCTCAGCTAATTTTTGTATTCTTAGTAGAGACGAGGTTTCACCATGTTGGCCAGGCTGATCTTGAGCCCTTGACCTCGTGATCTTCCCACCTCTGCCTCCCAAAATGTTGGGATTACAGGCGTGAGCCACTGCACCCGGTCCCTTCCTTCCTTTTCTTTTTTGAGACAGGCTCTCACTCTGTTGAGCAGGCTAGAGTGCAGTGACATGATCACAGCTCACTATAACCTCAAACGCCTAGACTCAAGAGATCCTCCCATCTCAGCCTCCCAAGTAGCTGGGACTACAGATGCATACCACCAATCTGGCTAATTTTTTTAAATTTTTTCAGCCTCCTGCTACACCCAGGCAAGACTAATTTCTTTTTTTCTTTCTTTTTTTTGAGACAGAGTCTCGATCTGTCTCCCAGGCTGGAGTGCAGTGGCGTGATCTCAGCTCACTGCAAGCTCCGCCTCCCAGGTTCACGCCATTCCCCTACCTCAGCCTCCTGAGTAGCTGGGACTACAGGTGCCCGCGACCACACCCAGCTAATTTTTTTTTATTTTTAGTAGAGACAGGGTTTCACCATGTTAGCCAGGATGGTCTCAATCTCCTGGCCTCGTGATCTGCCTACCTCGGCCTCTCAAAGTGCTGGGATTACAGGCTTGAGCCACTGCGCCCGACCGACAAGGCTAATTTCTTTTTTTTTATATATATACTTTAAGTTCTAGTGTACTTGTGCACAACATGCAGGTTTGTTACATATGTATACATGTGCCATGTTGGTGTGCTGCACCCATTAACTCGTCATTTACATCAGGTATATCTCCTAATGCTATCCCTCCCCTCTTCCCCCACCCCACAACAGGCCCCGGTGTGTGATGTTTTCCACCCTGTGTCCAAGTGTTTTCATTGTTCAATTCCCACCTATGAGTGAGAACGTGTGGTGTTTGGTTTTCTGTCCTTGTGATAGTTTGCTCAGAATGATGGTTTTCAGCTTCATCCATGTCCCTACAAAGGACATGAACTCATCATTTTTTATGGCTGCATAATATTCCATGGTGTATATGTGCCACATTTTCTTAATCCAGTCTATCATTGATGGACACTTGGGTTGGTTCCAAGTCTTTGCTATTGTGAATAGTGCCGCAATAAACATAGGTGTGCATGTGTCTTTATAGCAGCATGATTCATAATCCTTTGGGTATATACCCAGTAATGGGATGGCTGGGTCAAATGATATTTCTAGTTCTAGATCCTTGAGGAATCGCCATACTGTCTTCCACAATGGTTGAACTAGTTTACAGTCCCACTAACAGTGTAAAAGTGTTCCTATTTCCTCCACATCCTCTCCAGCTCCTGTTGTTTCCTGACTTTTTAATGATCGCCATTCTTTTTTTTTTTTTTTTTTGAGACAGTGTGTCGCTCTGTTGCCCAGGTTGGAGTGCAATGGCGTGATCTCAGCTCACTGCAACCTCAACCTCTGCCTCTGGGGTTCAAGCGATTGTCCTGCCTCAGCCTCCCAAGTAGCTTGGATTACAGGCGCCCACCATTATAACCAGGTAATTTTTTTTTTGTATTTTTAGTGGAGACAGGGTTTCATCATGTTAGTCAGGCTGGTCTCGAACTCCTGACCTCAGGTGATCCGCCCGCCTCTGCCTCCCAAAGTGCTGGGATTACAGGTGTGAGCCACTGCGCCTGGCCTAATGATCGCCATTCTAACTGGTGTGAGATGGTATCTCATTGTGGTTTTGATTTGCATTTCTCTGATGGCCAGTGATGATGAGCATTTTTTCATGTGTCTGTTGGCTGCACAAATATCTTCTTTTGAGAAGTGTCTGTTCATATCCTTCACCCACTTTTTGATGGGGTTGTTTGATTTTTTTTTTTTGTAAATTTGTTTAAGTTCTTTGTAGATTCTGGATATTAGCCCTTTGTCAGATGGGTAGATTGTAAAAATTTTCTCCCATTCTGTAGGTTGCCTGTTCACTCTGATGGTAGTTTCTTTTGCTATGCAGAAGCTCTTTAGTTTAATTAGATCCCATTTGTCAATTTTGGCTTTCGTTACCATTGCTTTTGGTGTTTTAGTCATGAAGTCCTTGGCAAGGCTAATTTCTTAACTCCCCCCCCCCCCCGTCCTTAGGAAATGGAGCTCCACCTAATTCCTCGCTCCTTCTCTCCAGTTTCATAAAGGAATCCTAAGACAGCACTCAGAAAATCCAGGGATAGCAACGCCTTGTCTAAGTCTCCGTCTTATACCAGTGGCACACAAGACTAAAAGAGTGCAGTACTTCTTTTCTCTAAGCATCACACAACCTCAGAACCCTACTTAACACAGCGGTCCCAGTAGCTAACACACTGATTAGAGTTGGCTTTCAAGATGCAACCCATTTCTCACCTCTCGTCCAATCCAGTGGTTCTTAGAGTGGGGTCCCTGGAGCAAGAGCAGTGATATTCAGGAGGTCTTTGGTGGGATCCAAGACTCCACATTTCTAACAAGCTCCTGGGTGGTCAATGCTGCTAAGCTGAGGACCACACTTTGAGTAGCCAGCCTGTGACCCCCTGTAACCTACCCCTCCAAATGCTGCCAGCCTCTCAGATGCCCATTTGCAGATTCACTTTTGTTCCTCATCCTTGTCAGACAGTTCCAAGACTACAGCAAACTGGACCTGACCACCACATGGGTACATTTCAAAACGCTTATTGACACACACCGCAAAGAAAAGGAGTATCAAAGCACAGCATTTGCCTAGAGAAACCCAAACACTGTGAAAGGGCTGAAAGATAAATTCAGGCAAATATGTTTGCATACAGTTGACAGGCTTTTGCCCAGACCCAAACTGCTCTCCAGGTGAATGAAGCCACCGTTACAACTTGCCTGGGGCCTGGCAGAGCTTGGCAGAGCTTGGCAGGAGGCAGGAGGCCACCGTATGATTGCAGAGCCTGTGCAACTGACCCTCCTTCCTGCCTCTGAGACCCTCCCCTCATCAGAGGAGCTGGATCTCAGTAAATCATTCTGACACTCTTGCCCGTTCCCTGAGCAGAATGGGCAGTCAACAGAGGGTTACTCATAGCACCACGGGCTGCAAGCCTCTACCCTAGGGAAGGTGCGTGAAGGCAGCCTCAGACTCTGTAAGCACCACTGGATAAAGAGGCAAGAGAAGGGGTCAGGTGGGGTGGCTCACACCTGTAATCCCAGAGCTTTAGGAGGCAAAGGTGGGAGGATTCCTTAAGCCCAGGAGTTCGAGGTTGCAGTTAAGCTATGATCACACCACTGCATTCCAGCCTGACGGGGGAAAAAATAGGCAGAGAAGGGAGGACTACAAGGAATCCTAATTTATTTAATCGTAGAATATGGGATGCCTCAGACTGGGCTGTGCCTGGTCATACTTCTTGCCTTTTCCTACCTGTTCTGTGCTAAACCCAAAATGCATTCCCTACTCTTCTCTAGTTGTTCAATTCCAATGTTAAACTCACAGTCCTCCTCTTTATCATACCTAATATGCAGTAAGCACCTAAAACATGCCACAGACTGGGCTAATAATTTAACCAAAATTAGTTTACCATAATGCCACCACGTAGCCCTTTATGAAAGATCAGGCCAGGCGAGGGGGCTCACGCTTGAAATCCCAGCACTTCGGGAGGCCGAGGTGGGTGGATCACCTGAGGCCAGGAGTTTGAGACCAGCCTGACCAATGTGGCAAAACACTGTCTCCACTAAAAATACAAAAATTACCCAGGCATGGTGGTGTATGCCTGTAATCCCAGCTGCTCGGGAGTCTGAGGCAGGAGAATCGCTTGAACCCGGGAGGCAGAGGTTGCAGTGAGCCGAGATTGCACCACTGCACTCCAGCCTGGGCAACAGAGCGAGACTCCATCTCAAAAAAAAAAAAAAAAAAATCAGAAAGCAGAGACTTGGAGAAGAAAGGTAGCTTGCCCAAGGCCACATCACTTATAAGTGGCAGAGCCAGGGCTTGAATCCTGGTCAATTGGGTTGAATAGCCAGTGCTTTTGAAGGCTCAGAGCAAGCATTCGTTCCTCCAGGAGCTCTTCCACAATTACCCACTCTCATGCAGGCCCTCCTGTGTGTCCCCAGAGTACCCTCTATGTGACCTCTATTGTAGCACTTCCTGCACCATCTTGCTTTGCACCTCAGGGCCTTTGCATTTGCTGTTCCTACCACCTGAAATGCCCTTCCCCAGCAAGTCTCCAGTCTTTACCTCATCTGGGTCTGTATTCCTTTTCAATGGCTGCTGTAACAAATGATACAAATTTAGTGGCCTAAAACCACACACATTTATGATCTTCCAGTTCTGGAGGTGGACAGTTTAAAATGGGCTGGCCAGGCTGTGTTTCCTCCACAGGCTCTAGGAGACAATGTATTTCCTTGCCTTTTCTAGCTTCTCCAGGCGGCCACATTCCTTGGCTCATGGCCCCACGTCCACTCCTTCCATCATCACATCGTCTCTGACTCTGACTCGGAACCACCCACTTCCCTCTAATCAGGACCCCTGTGATGATCTAGGGGCCATCTGGATAATCCAGAATAATCCTTTCAACTCTAGAGCCTTCATGCAATCACCTCTGAAAAGTCCCTTTTGCCGTGTCAGGCAACATCCTCACAGGTTCCAGGGATTAGGACATGAACATCTGTTTGGGACCATCATTCTGCCCACCAGAGGATTTCTGTGTCAGATCTAAACCAGCATCTTCCATCACGTTCTGCTGTCCTTCCCTGATATTTTTCCCCAGAGCATTTGCCACCATCTGATATATCCTGAAGTTATTTGCCTGTTACCTGTCATTCTCCCACAAAAGAAGAGAATATCTCTTAGGCACTGCTGACTCCCTTGAACAATGCAGGCACACAGTAGGTGTTCAATAAAGGCTTTTGAATAAACGATGATTTATTTGTTTATTTATTTGTTTGTTTATTTATTTGAGACCAAGTCTCACTCTGTTGCCCAGGCTGGAGTGCAGTGGCATGATCTCAGCTCACTGCAACCTCTGCCTCCCAGGTTCAAGCGATTCTCCTGCCTCAGCCTGCCGAGTGGCTGGGATTACAGGCACGCACCATCATGCTCAGCTAATTTTTGTATTTTTAGTAGAGACGGGGTTTCACTGTGTTGGCCAGGCTGGTCTCAAACTCCTGAACTCAAGTGATCCGCCTGCCTCGGCCTCCCAAAGTGCTGGAACTACAAGCGTGAGCCACCATTCCTGGCCTTGAATAAACAATGATTGATGTCATGGTGGATTGTCCAGATTTCTTTTGTCACTGGGACCCCAAGGGCAGAGGCCCTGTCTGATGGCTTCATCTTCTCAAACATGGGCTAGATGAACCTACTACTTGCTCAGCCCTGCTTTTTTGCAACCACCAGCCCCAGGGAAAATAGAAGAAATCCTGAACTTCACACGCTAGAATTCACACAGCTGAAGAGTGTCCCAACACCCCAGGGGCTCCTAATGGGGAAATTATACACAGGCAGAGGAAAATGGGGTGTTGGTAATGTCACCCCCATCCTGAGTAAGCCTGCCTGGACCAGGCTTTTCTGTCCTGGCCCCAAGTTCTTTCCCAGCCTTGTCAAACAGCCGAGTGATTTAGCAAGAAAGCAGGTTCTTGCCACATTTATCCATACGTGGGTCAGGGCCACATCCTGTCTATGTGTCCATTTCTAAGTACAAGAGGAGAAATGAAACCCTTCCAACTGTGGTCACATGATTTTTTTTTTTTTTTTTTTTTTTTTTTTTTTTTTTTGAGACTGAGTCTTGCTCTGTCACCCAGGCTGGAGTGCAGTGGCACGATCTCGGCTCACTGCAACTTTTGCCTCCCAGGTTCAAGCAATTCTCGTCCCTCAGCCTCCCAAGTAGCTGGGACCACAGGTGCATGTCACCATGCCTAGCTGATTTTTTGTATTTTTGGTAAAGATGGGGTTTTGCCATATTGCCCAGGCTGGTCTTGAACTCCTGAGCTCAAGCAATCTGCTCACCTCAGCCTCCCAAAGTGCTGGGATTACAGGCGTGAACCACTGCACGTAGCCATGATTTCTTTTTTTCTGCTCCCAACTTTCTATCAACCTTATCCCACCATCCCCTCATCCTAGAGTTGGTGTTTGAAAATGTTGTGGGAGAAAAGAGAATGAAAAACAAGAAATAAAATCTGACTGTTTTGCTTCTCTGCTTAAAACCATCCTATGATGGGTGTGGTGGCTCATGCCTATAATCTCAGCACTTTGGAAGGCCTAGGCAGGAGAATCACTTGAGTCCAGGAGTTGGAGACCAGCCTGGGCAACACAGTGAGACCCTACCTCTACAAAATTAGCTGGACATAGTGGCACATGCCTGAACTTCCAGCTATTTAGGAAGCTGAGGTGAGAGGATCTCTTGAGCCTGGGAGGTCAAGGCTGCAGTGGGCTATGATCGCACCACTGTACTCCAGCCTAAGCAACAGAGTGAGACACTGACTCAAAAAAAGAAAAGAAAAGAAGGAAAGAAAGAAAGAAAAGAAAAAAACCTTGGGTATCATTTTCCTGGCTTCATCTCTTACTAGCTGTGTGGCTTTGGACAAGTTGCTAAACTTCTCTGTAGCTCAGCTTCCTTAACTAGGATATGAGGAGAATAAAAGTGTCTTAGTCTGTTTTGTGCTGCTATAACAGAATATCATAGACAGGGCAATTTATAAAGAACAGAAATTTATTTCTCATAGTTCTGGTGGCTGAGAAGTCCAAGATCGTGGTGCCAGCAGGTTTTGATGTCTGATGACAGCCCAGCCCCACTTCAAAGAAGTCATCTTGAATGTCTCATCCTACGCTAGAACTTGTTATGTGGCCTCAATCAACTGTAAGGGATGTCGGGGGCAAATGGAGTATTTGAAGAGCACTCCTGTGTCCCAAACTTCCAGTGGGAGGAACACTACTGCTCACACGGTGGAAGAGCAGAAGAGAATAAACCCACTGGCAAGCCCTTTTTATAGCAGCATTAATTCATTCATGAAAGCAGAGCCCTCAAGACCTAAAATACCTCCCATTAGACCCCACCTCTCAAAACTGTTGCATAGGGGATTAAGTTTCCAACACATGGATTTGGAGAAGACAACAACATTCAAACCACAGCGAATAGTAACCGACCTCTGTCCTCAAGGACACAGTGACTCGACTTGATATATGTAAAGTGCTCAGCACAATGCCTGGCACACAGCAAGTGCTCAAAAACTGTGGAATGTATTTTGGCAGTTCCTCAAAAAGTCCAACGTCAATCTATCATATGACCCAGCAAGTCCACTCCGAGGTAAATACCCAAAAGAAATGAAAAAAATATGTCCACATGTCCACACATTGTACGTGAATATTCACAGCAGCATGCTACATGATAGGCAAAGGTTGAAAATACCCCAAATGTCAGGCCAGGTGAGGTGGCTCATGCCTGTAATCCTAGCACTTTGGGAGGCTGAGGTGGACGGATCACGAGGTCATGAGTTCGAGACCAGCCTGGCCAATATGGTGAAACCCCATCTCTACAAAAAATACAAAAATTGGCTGGGCGTGGTGGTGTGTGCCTGTAGTCTCAGCTACTCAGGAGGCTGAGGCAGAAGAATCGATCACTTGAACCCAGGAGACAGAGTGAGACTCCATCAAAAAAAAAAAAACCCAAATGTCTATCAATGGATAAATGGATTAACAAATTGTGGTGTATTCCTAAAATGGATTAATTTTCAGCCATAAAAAGGAGTGAGGTACTGGCACATCCTACAACATAGATGAACATGAAGACATGATGCTGTCAAAGAAGCCAAATAGAAAAGGCCACATATTGGATGATTCCATTCATACGAAATGTCTAGAATAGGCAAATCCATAGAGACAGACAGTAGATTAGTGCTTGCCTAGGGCTGGAGGGAAGAGGGAATGGGAGTGATTACTTCATGGGAATGAGGTGTTCTTCTAGGGCAATACAAAAGTCTTGAAACTGGAAAGAGGTGGTGTTTGCACAACATTGTGAATGCACTCTATGCCACTGAACTGTGCACTTTAAAATGGTTAATTGTATGTTCTGTGAATTTCGCTTCAGTTTTTTTTTTTTTTTTTTTTTTTTTGAGACACAGTCTCACTCTGTCACCTAGGCTGGCGTGCAGTAGTGTGATCTCAGCTCACTGCAACCTCCACCTCCCAGGTTCACGCTGTTCTCCTGCCTCAGCCTCCCGAGTAGCTGGGATTACAGGTGCCCGTCACCACGCCCAGCTAATTTTTGTATTTTTAGTAGAGACAGGGTTTCACTATGTTGGCCAGGCTGGTTTCGAACCCTTGACCTCAGGTGATCCACCCACCTTGGCCTCCCAAAGTGCTGGGATTATAGGCGTGAGCCACTGTGCCTGGCAGGCCTCTTTTCTAAGGGCACTAATCCCATTCATGAGTGCTCCATCCTCATGACCTCATCACCTTCCTACGGCCCCAACTCTTAATAACATCACACTGGAGGTTAGGTTTCAACATATGAATTTGGGGGTGACACAAACATTAGATACAGCAGGAGGGGAAAAGGAAAAGAAGGCCCTCCTCTTCAGTTGGCCCAACAGACCCAGGTCTTCCAAGAGCATGCTGGGTTCAGCCTAGCCCCAAACACATTTAGCCTGCAGCACTTCATTCCGGCTGTAATGAAATTACATGTGTGTGCTCATAGGGAAAGGGAGCCGGTATGGTTTTGATTTATTTATACTCAGCTCCTCGGATGCAGTAGGGTAGTTGCTGTTTGATGTCAGAGCCTTTCTGCAAGGACTTTGCAGGAGCCCCATTTCTCTTTGGTAACAAGAAACCAGAGTTAGCTCCGACTAAATTGTCTTGAAAGTCTGAGCGGGGAAGTTGCTCCAAGAAGTAACTTACTGAAAGAACGTGTTCCCTCATTCAAGTAGGTATGAAATAAAGATCCGGTTCCCAGGACCCAAGGGCTTCCCCCAAAACTCAGGAACTCAGACTTATTCCCCAACATATTAGGAGCCTTCTAGCAAGGGGTAATTTCAGAAGAAAGGATAGAGATAAAAGACCTTTGCCAAACACTTGCTATGACACCAGGGACTTTACAGATACCCCCTTAATCATACTCTATTTTTCTGATAAGGAAACTAGGCTGGGAGAAGTAAATAGGATGGATTAAGATGTTGAGGAACTGGGCTTGAACCCAAATAGAGCTGATGCATCTATATTATTTCAGTTTAACCCCTTGTTGCAGTTACTATTGCTGTGTAACAAATTGCCCCAATGCTTGTGATATAAAACAGCCCATTTTATTATGTTCACAAACTCTCTGAGTCAGGAATTTAAAAAAGGCATAGTGGGTGTTATGCATTGAATTTCATCCTTTGAAAAAAAAAATAGGTTGAAGTCCTAACCCCCAGGCCTCCAAATATGACCTGATTTGGAAATATTGTCTTTATAGAGGAAATTGAGTTAAAATGAGGTCTTAAAGGTAGGCTCCAATCCAGTATGACTCGTGCCCTTATGAAAAGGAAAAATTGGAGCCAGATGTGGTGGCTTATGCCTGTAATCCAAGCACTTTGGGAGGCTGAGGACAGAGGATCACTTGAGGCCAGGAGTTTGAGACCAGCCTGGGCAACACAGTGAGACCCCAACCTCTATAAAAATATATATTTAAAAAATTAGGCCAGGCGCAGTGGCTCAGGCCTGTAATCCCAGCACTTTGGGAGGCTGAGGTGGGTGAATCACCTGAGGTCAGGTGTTCAAGACCAGCTTGGCCAACATGGTGAAACCCCATCTCTACTAAAAATACAAAAATAGCCAGGTGTGTGGCACATGCCTATAATCCCAGCTACTCAGGAGGCTGAGACCTCCGATCCTCCCTGAGAATCACTTGAACCCGGGAGGCAGAGGTTGCAGTGAGCCGAAATTGCACCACTGCTCTCCAGCCTGGGCAACAGAGCAAAACTTCATCTTAAAATAAAATAATAATTTAAAAAAGAATTAGCTGGATGTGATGGCACACACCTGTGGTCCCAGCTACCTGGGAGGCTGAGGTGGAAGGATTGCTTAAGCCTGAGAGGTCAAGGCTGCAGGGAGCCATGATCATACCACTGCACTCCAGTCTGGGTGAAAGAGCAAGACCTTGTCTCAAAAGAAAGGAAATCAACACATGGACTGAACAGATTGTTAGGGTATCAGGTCTTCATATCCCCTTCAACCAGCCCCACTCTTCTTCAATCTGTTTTACATATTGGATTTCTGCACATGATTTTGCTTGAAGAGAGGTTTCCAGAGTTATAAAAGCACTTTTATTTTACAAGATGGGAGATGAAAACTGAGTTCCAAACAGAAGTAAGATTTGCCCAAGGACATCCAATGACTCAACAGAGGTCTTAAGAGAAGAAAGCAAGTTTTAAGACATAGAAGTGGCCAGGCACAGTGGCTCACACCTGTAATCCTAGCATTTTGGGAGGTGGAGGCAGGTGGATCACCTGAGGTCAGGAGTTCGAGACCAGCCTGACCAACATGGAGAAACCCTGTCTTTACTAAAAATACAAAATTAGCCGGGCATGATGGCGCTTGCCTGTAATCCCAGCTACTTGGGAGGCTGAGGCAGGAGAATCGCTTGAACTCAGGAGGCAGAAGTTGAGGGGAGCCAAGATTGCACCATTGCACTCCAGCCTGGGCAACAAGAGCGAAACTCCATCTCAAAAAGAAAAAAAAAAAAAAAAGACATACAAGCAGTCAACAAACATGAAAAAAATGTTCTGCATCACTAATCATCAGAGAGATGCAAATCAAAAGGACAATGAGATACCATCTCACACTAGTCAGAATGGCTATTACTAAAAAGTCAAAAAACAACAAATGCTGGTGAGGCTGCCCAGAAAATGGAACGCTTATGCACTGTTGGTG
Organism: Homo sapiens; assembly: GCF_000001405.40. Lineage (NCBI taxonomy): Eukaryota > Metazoa > Chordata > Mammalia > Primates > Hominidae > Homo > Homo sapiens. The sequence goes on along the minus strand of NC_000012.12, from coordinate 114,801,503 downwards.
GGAATGTAAATTTAGTTCAGCCACTGTGGAAAGCTGTCTGGAGATTTCTCAAAGAACTTAAAACAGGGCCAGATGCATTGGCTCACACCAGCAATCCCAGCATTTTGGGAGGCCGAGGTGGGAGAATCACTTGAGCTCAGGAGTTCAAGATTATCCTGGGCAACGTAGTGAGACCCCATCTCCACAAAAGAAAAAAATTCCCCACAAGTGCACATCTGTGGTCCCAGCTACTCTGGCGGCTGAGGTGGGAGGATCACTTGGCCCAGAGAGGTCGAGGCTTATAAGAACTTAAAACAGAACTACCGTTCAACTCAGCAATCCTGCTACTGAGTATATATCCAAAAGAAAACTAATCATTCTACCAAAAAGACACCTGCACTTATATGTTCATTGCAGCACTATTCACAATGGCAAAGGCATGGAATCAACCCTAAGTCCCCAACAACGATGAATTGGATAAGGAAAATGTGGCACATATACACCATGGAATACTGCACAGCCATAGAAATGAATAAAATCATGTTCTTTGCAGCAACATGGATGCAGCTGGAGGCCATTATCCTAAGTGAATTAATACAGGAACAGAATAGGAACTACCCCCTGTTCTCACTTATAGGTGGGAGCTAAACATTGGGTACTTATGAGCATAAAGATAGGAACAGATACTGGGGACTACCAGTGGGCGGAGGAAAAGACGGGGGCAGGGCTTGAAAAACTAACTGTTGGGGCCAGGCGCGGTGACTCACGCCTGTAATCCCAGCACTTTGGGAGGCTGAAGCGGGTGAGTCAACTGAGGTCAGGAGTTCGAGACCAGCCTGACCAACATGGAGAAACCCCGTCTCTACTAAAAATACAAAACTAGCTTGGCATGGTGGCACATGCCTGTAATCCCATCTACTCAGGAGGCTGAGGCAGGAGAATTGCTTGAACCCAGGAGGTGGATGTTGTGGTGAGCCGAGATCGTACCATTGCATTTCAGTCTGGGCAACAAGAGCGAAACTCTGTCTCAAAAACAACAACAACGAAAAATAAACTGTTGAGTACTATGATCAGTACCTGGGTGATGGGATCATTCATACCTCAAGCCTCAGCATCATGCCATCTACACAGGTAACAAACCTGCACATGTACCTCCTGAATCCAAAATAAAAGTTGCGGAGAAGGCCAGGCATGGTGGCTCATGCCTGTCATCCCAGCTGTTAGGGAGGCAGAGGCGGGAGGATAGCTTGAGCCCAGGAGTTTGAGACCTGCCTGGGCAATATAGCGAGATCCTGTTCTCCACAAAAAGGAAAAAAGAAAAGATTTTTTTAGAAGTGTAAAAGTTGGGAAAAAGGAAAGAAAAAAATCTTCCTGGCTGCCCATCCTGTTTTCTTTCTTTCACTACTCATCCTTTGGGGGTGAAGGTCCAGACAGCATGAGGACATAAACATATGACATTCCATAGATGTTTGGTGGCACTATTTCGTGTGACTACACTTCAAAAGCTTGTTTTCCCCAGCTGGGCCCCTGTTCTTCACTGTTTTGAGAATAAAAGATGGTGCCTTCATTACATCAAGTACCCAGGCTCCAAGGCCAACCAGGCACGCGGACTGGGCCTCCCTCCCAACAGTTGGTGGCCTTACTGAATGCCCTTTCAGCAGAGGGGAGCGTGGGCGGGGCTGGCAGAGCAGGCCCAGGGCACAGGGTTAGCCCTGATAACCTGAGATCAAAGCAGCCTGTCAGCAGTGTCAGCTGAGAGGCAGCCAAGACAAGCGATGCGGGCAGCTTCATCTCCCCGCTGGCCCTAGAGCAGGGGCGGGGAAAGCACCACAGTTCCCGGAAACTATTTCTGAACAGGCTGGAGGGAGCTCCTGGTGCCACTGCTCATTCCAAGCTGGCTCTGAGTCCGTCTCCAGCTCTCTCCTGCACCATGCGTGGTTTCCTCTCCCAGTTCCACTTTAGTTTTTTCCCACTCTTTCATCTACAATTTTCAATTTTTTAAAATTTATTTATTGATTTTTTTTTTTTTTTGAGAAAAGTTCACACTATTCACCCAGGCTGGTCTTGAACTCGTAGCCTCAAGCAATCTTCTAGCCTCAGCTTCCCAAAGTTCTGGGATTACAAGCATGAGCCACCGCACTGGGCTTTCCATTTTCATATAGACACATGCATACACACATAATTAAGATTTGTCTTCTCAGACCAGATGTGGTGGCTCATGCCTATAATCCCAGCACTTTGGGAGGCCGAGGCGGGCGGATCATCTGAGGTCAGGAGTTCGAGACCAGCTTGGCCAACATGGTGAAACCCCGTCTCTACTAAAAATACAAAAATTAGCCAAGCGTGGTGGCATGCACCTGTAATCCCAGCTACTCAGGAGGCTGAGTCAGGAGAATCATTTGAATGCGGGAGTCAGAGGTTGCAGTGATCTGAGTTCGCCCCACGCACTCCAGCCTGGATGACAAAGTGAGACTCTGTCTCAAAAAAAAAAAAAAAAAAAAAAAAAGGAATAAAAATAGATTTGTCTTCTCTTCCCTGAGACATTTCCCACTTTCAAAGTCTCTTAGTCTCTTTCTTTCTCACGGGTCCCATATGCAGGAGATGGCTACTGTCCTCTCTACCTCCCTGGCTAATACACACACAGCAGTCTCTCCTCCCAGTCTTCCCATTCTCATATTCACAGACACAGTTTTCTTCCAGCTTCCCTTACACACACGTGCACACACATGTGCACACACACACACACCTGCCCGGGTTACAGTCTCCAAACTCTCTTTTAAAAAAAGAATCCAGAGACAGCTGCCAATTAAAACAATAAAATCTCCTTGCCTTCCTTTCTGTTATTATGAACTCTGGGACCATTTCCACCAGCTGATGTCTGGATTTTTTTTTTTTCCTACAAGGTGTTGACCCTTTCATTTGCAGCTGGAATCAACAGCCACTGTTCCTCTCCAGCTGTGGCCCCTTTGTCAGCTGGGCAGCTCACAGCTGGCTGATTTTCATAGCCTAGCTACCTCAGCACTTTTGCAAAGAAAATGTGGGGGAAAGACCAGGTGCAGTGGCTCATGCCTATAATCCCAGCACTTTGGGAGGCTGAGACGGGCAGATCACTTGAGGTCAGGAGTTCGAGGCCAGCCTGGCCAACATAGTGAAACCCCATCTCTACTGAAAATACAAAAATTAGCTGGGCATGGTGGCGTGCGCCTGTAGTCTCAGCTACTCAGGAGGCTGAGGTGGGAGAATCCCTTGAACCTGAGAGGCAGAGGTTGCAGTGAGCTGAGATCACACCACTGCACTCTTGCCTGGGTGACAGAGACTCTATCTCAAAAAAGAAAAAAAAAGAGAAAAAGAAAAAAAGAGAGAAAGAAAATGGGAGGAAAGTTTGGAAATCTACCCTTCCAGTATATCATGAGAGATTCTAGAACCTTCCCCACACCCAAAGTTTGAATTATCTTCTCTCTCTACCCATGAACTCACACATGGTCTCTTCACTGTGTGTCCAGTTAGGTTGCAGGAAGAGAGAGGGAGAGGAGCATCCACATATCGCTACTTTCTGCTTTAGGCATCTGTAGGCCTCAGAACTTCATCTGTCATGCTGGCAGGGATGGTGGATGGGCAGGAGGGAGAGAAGGTGGCTCAGGGAGCCATGCCATTGCCGAGAGGCAAAGACAAGAAAAGAAGCATTTCGACCAGGCATGGTGGCTCACTCCTGTAATCCCAATACTTTGGGAGGCCGAGGCAGGTGGATCACTTGAAGCCAGGAGTTCGAGACCAGCCCGGACAACATGGTGAAACCCTGTCTTTACTAAAAATACAAAAATTAGCTGGGCGTGGTGGCGGGCACCTGTAATCCCAGCTACTCGGGAGGCTAAGGCACAGAATCACTTGAACCCCGGAGGCGGAGGTTGCAGGGAGCCAAGATGGCACCAATGCACTCCAGCCTGGGCGACAGACTGAGACTCTGTATCAAAAAAGAAAAGAAAAAGAGAATTTGGCTGGGCACAGTGGCTCACACCTATAATCCTACCACTTTGGGAGGCCGAGGCAGGCAGATCACTGAGTTCAGGAGTTCGAGACCAGCCCAGCCAACATGGTGAAACCTCATCTCTACTAAAAACACAAAAATTAGCTGGGTGTGGTGGCGCATTACTCTAGTCCCAACTACTCAGGAGCCTGAAAAGGGAGAATTGCTTGAACCAGGGAGGAAGAGGTTGCAATCAGCTGAGATTGTGCCACTGCACTCAAGCCTGGAAGACAGATTGAGACTCTATCTCAAAAAAAAAAAAAAAAAAGATGAAGAAGAAAAGGAGCATTTATTGAGCCCCTGCTGTGTGCTGCATGCTGTGTGTACCTACCTCCTAAATGCATTGGAAGCTGTCATTGAGAGGCAGTGGGCATGTGTGCACAGATCTTGGCTCACTGCAACCTCCGCCTCCTGGGTTCAGGTGACTCTCCTGACTCAGCCTCCCGAGTAGCTGGGATTACAGGCCTGTGCCACCAAACCCAGCTAATTTTTTCATATTTTTAGTAGAGACGGGGTTTCACCATGTTGGCCAGGCTGGTCTCGAACTCCTGACCTCAGGTGATCCACGCACCTCGGCCTCCCAAAGAGCTGAGATTACAGGTGTGAGCCACCAAACCGGGCTGAGTTCTTTCTTTCTTTCATCCTCTACATTGCTTGATGACTCTGAGCTTCATTTTCCATATATATATATATATGTTATATATATAACATATATATATATATATATATATATCACACATATATTTTTTAATAGAAATGGGATCTTGAACTCCTGGGCTCAAAAGATCCTCCCACCTCAGCTTCCCAAAATGCTGGGATTACAGGCATGAGCCACCGCCACACCTGGCCTCATTTTCCACATCTGAAAAAAAGGGGGATATTAAGTCAAACACTATGAAATGACAAGTTTTATAGGTCAAAAAATGGTCAGCTACATTGGCAATGGCATGTGCTGCAGCCAATTAGGACCAACATCACAGGGCTCTTGGGAGACTCAACTGGAAACAATACATGTGCAAGACACACATGCTAGCTGGAAGATTATAAGCACTTAGTACATATTACATATATTTATGACTACAAAAGCAATATTCAACAAAGACTGATACGGTGAGATGTTGTTGGACATACACCAAAGGCCTGTCCGTAAACATTGTGTTGGGGGAGATATGGCTTTGTTAGAGGAAACCAAAAAATGCCACTTTGGAAGGGACCCTGACAAGACATAGAGCTTAGCTGGAGAGTTCCTTGGTTAAAAAAAAAAAAAAGAAAAAAAGAAAAAATTTTCTTGACCTCGGCATTGAAAATTCTGATTCAGTATGTCTGAGATGGGGGCCCAAGAATATGCAAATTTTACTCTCTCCCAACCCAGAATTTTCTAGGATAAGTGAGCCCATTTCCAAAACAAGTTAATTGGAAGAATAAATAAATAAAGAGGAAGGAGAAACAGAAGAATAAAGAGAGAGTATATAGAAAATATAGAAATGTGGCCAGGCCTGGTGGCTCGTGCCTGTAATGTTAGCACTTTGGGAGGCCGAGGCCGGTGAATTGCTTGAGCCCAGGAGTTCAAGACCAGCCTGGGGAACATGGCGAATCCCCATCTCTATATTAATTAATTAAAGAAAACATAGAAATATAAAGAGTAGAGGCAATTTAAGAGATCCAACCAAAGGCAATGTGTGAAACTCATGTGGATCCTGATTTAAACAAAATAACTGTATATATATATATATATATATATATAGGAAAATTTGGACAACTACTAGATATTTGATATTTGATGATCTCATTATTAATTTCAAGTATAATAATGGGCCAGGCATGGTAGCTCACACCTGTAATCCCAGCACTTTGGGAGGCCAAGGCAGGCGGATCACTTGAGGTCAGGAGTTTGAGAACAGCTTGGCCAACATGGTGAAACGCCGTCGATACTAAAAATACAAAAAAATTAGCTGGGCGTGGTGGCGCACATCTGTAATCCCGGCTACTCGGGTGGCTGAGACACAAGAATCGCTTGAACCAGGGAGGTGGAGCTTGCAGTGAGTCGAGATCGTGCCACTGCACTCCGTCCAGCCTGGGCGACACAGCAAGGCTCTGTCTCAAAAATATAATAAATAAATAAATAAATAAAATAATGGTAATGTAATTTTGTTTTAAAAAAACTTTATATTTAAATCCGCATACTGAATTACTTGTGGATTAAATGATGCTATGCCTGGATTTTGCTTCAGAAGAACCTAGCAGAGGGAGAAAATTCAAGTTGGTGGAGGTATGAATATAACCAAATTGGCTCTGGGTGATGACTATTGAACATGGATGTTGGCATACGGTGGTTCATCTCACTATTCTCTTCGCTTTTGCATATGCTTGAAAATGTCTGTAGCAATCTCCCACCTGATTCTTAATCAGTTTTGGAGATCATTAAAGTGATCAACCCTCTTTGTACTAATGGGAGTACTGAGACCCAGAGAGGAGAAATGAATTGTCCAATACATTAAGGGCAGAACTGGGACCAGACCCCAGGATGTCTCTGCACTCACCCATTGACAAGCATTTCTGTTTTCTTTTCTTTTTTGCGGGGGAGACGGAGTCTTGCTCTGTCACCCAGGCTGGAAATCAGTGGCGTTATCTTGGCTCACTGCAACCTCTGCCTCCCGGGTTCAAGTGATTCTTCTGCCTCGGCCTCCTGATTAGCTAAGATTGCAGACGCACAGCACTACACTCGGCTAATTTTTGTATTTTTTGTAGAGAGGGGAGTTTCACCATGTTGGCTAGGCTGGTCTCGAACCCCTGACCTCAAGTGATCCGCCTGCCTCGGCCTCCCAAAGTGTTGAGATTACAGGTGTGAGCCACCATGCCCGGCCTCACTTCTGAGCCCTTACTCTGTGCCAGGCACTCTGCTAGCACCAGATAACATGAGGATAACATGGTTATCCTCAAGTGGAGAACTCAGCCATTTGGATCAATAACTGTAGAGTAACAAGGACAGTGATTCCTTGAGGAATCACTGATACTCAGTGAGAGACAGGGAGTCTCCCTATCTCTCAGCTCCGTGTCTCACATAGTTGACTTCACCCCATGCAAGCTCTCCTTTCATTGTTCTCAAAGACAATCCCAGAAACTCCAGGCTAATATCCTACCAATTTAGCAACCTCAGCCAAAAAAGTGCTCTAATTACTTAGAGTCCCGTTAAGAGTTCCAGGAATGAATTGCGTTGGCCTGGCTTAGATCACGTGGTCATCCATGAACCAATCACTTCGGCCAGGAGTCAGAATACTCTGATTGGCCAGATGGTCATGTGCCCATGGGCCTTGGAAATGGGGGTCAGCCTCTTGCCAATTTTATACACATAGCAGAGGAAGAGCATTTTTCAAAGGAGAAATTAGGGTAAGTCACACAAAAGGCGAACGCTGAGCAGGAAAAATTGTAGGTACCCACTATGTATGTCGGGCTGGGTCACGGAGGCATAGCACCACAGTTTAATGCACAGATCCGGGCCCTGTATCCCTGGGTTTGAACCTGCCCTCACCACATTTCCAGACCTTAGGCAAATGAGATTCTCACCAAACAACAATTTCCTCATCTGTAAAGTGTGTAGGAAACTAGGGTCAGCTCAGAGATTCACAAACATCAGAAAGAGTGCCAACAGAATAAAGCATCTATCACATAGAAGGTAGTAAGGACAGTAAATATTATTACTTTGAAAAATCTTAGTTCTCAGCCAGGTGAGGTGGCTCCTGCCCTGTAATGCCAGCACTTTGGGAGGCCAAGGCAGGGAGATCACCTGAGGTCAAGAGTTAGAGACCAGCCTGGCCAAAATGATGAAACCCCATCTCTACTAAAAATACAAAAATTAGCCAGGCGTAGTGGCCCATGACTAATTCCAGCTACTCAGGAGGCTGAGGCAGGAGAATTGCTTGAGCCCGGGAGGCCGAGGTTGCAGTTAGCAGAGATCTCACCACGGCAGTCCAGCCTGGGCAATACAGCAAGACTCCACCTCAAAAAAAAAAATCTTAGTTCTCAATGCCTATAAATATCCTAACTCCTATTTACCAAAGGGGCTTCTCTTATCTTTCTCTGCCCTCTTCCTCGTTTATTTGTTGCATTGTCTTTTTTCTTGCTTAGATTAAAGAAGCACACACACAGAGTCAACCTAATAATGGCACTCATAAAACAGAGGAGGGGACGAAGATCTGGGGAGTTCATCTATATTTAACTGTGAGCAATCAGAGGCTAGTGTAGTGGAAAACATGCAAAGGGCTTGCAGGAGGAAAGAGAATATTAAAATTGCAATTTTCCCAATCACATCGAGACGTCTCTTTGACAGAATGCATAGCACTTCTGTCAAAAACTGTGCTACATCTCCAAGCAAAAAGCAAATAAATTGAATTTCTGTTCAGTGACAGTGTGGGCTAAGGGTGCTGTCAGCTGTGTTTCAATTTTTTTTCTTTATTTTTTTCTCTTCACGGCATTCTTTTGTAGCTGTCTTTATGGAATTTGTTTCTGGTTTCCCCCCCAACCCCCCCCCGCCTTTTTTCTTTTTTTTTTTTAGACAAAGTCTTGCTCTGTCGCCTGGGTTGGAGTGCAGTGATGCAATCTCGACTCACTGCAACCTCCACCTCCTGGGTTCAAGCCATTCTCCTGCCTCAGCCTCCCGAGTAGCTGAGATTACAGGCACATGCCACCATACCTTATTAGTTTTTGTTTGTTTGTTTTTGTTTTTTTCTTTCGTATTTTCCGTAAAGACTCCTGACCTCAAGTGATCCACCCACCTCAGCCTCCCCAAGTGCCGGGATTACAGGCATGAGCCACCATGGCTGGTTTCCCCCTTTATTATTCCTCCTTCCGCAAAGGCTGGATCAGACCTCAGCCTGCATGTGCCATAAAGCTGCACTGTAAAGCTGCCAGTGACCCCACATAGGCTCCAGGATAAAGCATAAAATCTATTGATCAGTTTCCAACCTGGATGCTGATTTCTCCAGCAGAGCCCATGTCTACTCCCTTTTCAAATGGCCCGTGCTGGAGGCCAAGACTGGTTAGACAGGCCAGGCGTGGTGGCTCACACCTGTAATCCCAGCACTTTGGGAGGCCGAGGCAGGCGGATCACTTGAGATCCGCCTGCCTCGGCCTCCCAAAGTGCTGGTATTATAGGCGTGAGCCACCGCACGCAGCCTGAGGCTAGATGCTTTCAGTGGTTCTCTTTGATGCTCTATTTAGTAGGTGAGAAGAATTAAGACAATGAGATGTTGAAGGCTCCAGAACCTTCAACACTAGAAAGCCAGTGCCCTGGTCCAAACAAAAAGGTGCATGACCTTATATGAGACCCATGGCAGTGGAGTCAGGGGAGCAAGCTGGTTTCCAGGAGATGTTATTCTGTCTATAAGAGAGAAAAAATGCTTTCAGGGTCCCAAAGCTTATAGTTAATATGGAAGAACTACTGAATAATCTCCTGCCCTCTTGGGGATGGCATATTTATTTGTCAACATGTCCTCAAATGCCAGTTGATTGATGGTACAAGTTGCTAAGTTTGTTCCTTCAGTGGATTGTATCCAAACAGATTGTCCTAAGACTGAGAAGAGCAGGAACCAAAGGAGACTGCTTCGTGGGTAAATTCATGACCCTGGGATCAATTCACATCACTCTATCCAGATCACAAATGGGAGTATTCTACATGGACACCGACCTTCTTTCATGAGTAGGGTGATTGAACCATCCCAGTTTGCCTTGGATATTGAGTGTGCTAAAACAGGGAAAGTCGGCCAGGCACAATGTCTCCTGTCTGTAATCCCAGCACTTTGAGAGGCGTAGGTGGGCCTATCACTTGAGCTCAGGAGTTCCAGACCAGCCTGGGCAACATGATGAAACTCCATCTCTACTAAAAATACAAAATACTTAGCTGGGTGTGGTAGTGTTTGTCTGTAATCCTCTACTCTGGAGGCTGAGACGGAAGGATTACCTGAGCCTGGGAAGAGGCTGCAATGAGTCATGATTGTGCCACTGCACCCCAGCCTGGATGACAGAGGGAGACCCTGTCTCAAAACAAAAAAAGTAAAATTAAAACAAGGAAAGTCTCATGCAAACCGAGCTGGTCACCCTATCCATGAGCCCTACTTTGACCTCATGTTGCCATTTTGAATGATGTCCTTTTTATTTTATTTTATTTTATTTTATTTTATTTTATTTTATTTTATTATTTTTTGAGACAGGGTCTCACTCTCTTGCCCAGACTGGAGTGCAGTGGCGTGATCTTGGCTCACTGCAAGCTCTCCACCTCCTGGATTCAAGCAATTTTCCCACCTCAGCCTCCCGAGTAGCTGGGACTACAGGCATGTACCACCATGCCTGGCCTAATTTTTGTATAATTTTTTTTTTTTGAGACGGAGTTTCACTCTTGTTGCCAAGGCTGGAGTGCAATGGCACAATCTCAGCTCACAACCTCCGCCTCCCAAGTTCAAGCGATTCTCCTGCCTCAGCCTCCCGAGTAGCTGGGATTACAGGCGTGTGCCACCATGCCCGTCTAATTTTGTATTTTTAGTAGAGACAGGGTTTCACCATGTTGGTCAGGCTGGTCTCGAACTCCCGACCTCAGGTGATCCGCCCACCTTGGCCTCCCAAAGTGCTGGGATTACAGGCATGAGCCACCATGCCCAGCCTTGTATAATATTTTTAGTAGAGACGGGGTCTCATCATGTTGGCCAGCCCGCTCTCCAACTCCTGACCTCAGGTGATCCATCCATCTCGGCCTCCCAAAGTGCTGAGACTACGGGCATGAGCCACGACGCTTGGCCCAGATGATGTCCTTTTGGGGATTTTAGAAAATGAATTAGTGATTTGGGGTCAACTTTGTTGGGAGGAAAAGAAAATCAGCTTGCTGCATTACAACTATTCCATTCATCTTTTGCAATGGAAAGGGAATTGGTGTAGCCATAGTAGTTAAGATTACAGCCTCTGAAGCCAGAGGCAATGAATTTAAATCTTTGCTGTCCCAGGAATTTGAGATTGCAATGAACTATGATCACACCACTGCAATCCAGCCTGGTTGACAAGATTTTTTGCATTTGAAAAGAATCCTTCTGGCTGCGGGTTAGAGAATAGATTCTTGGTTTCAGAAGGAGGCCAGGCAGAGTATCTGATGCCTATAATCCCAGCACTTTGACAGGTTGAGGCAGGAGGTTCACCCAGGAGTTTGCAACCAGCCTGGGTAATTTAGGAAGACTCCATCTCTGAAAAAAGAAAAAAAAAAAAAAAAGCTGGGCGTGGTGGCACCCACCTATGGTCCCAGCTACTTGAGAGGCTGAGGTTAGAAGGATGGCTTGAGTCTTATCTTTTTCAGGCAAGCGATAATGTGGTGGTAGCCTTGTTTTGACCGTAGCTTAACCTCTTTATATACATTATCTCAGTTAACAACATCTTCAAGGTTTAGACAACTCCCTTCCCCTGGAGATAACCCATTCCTTCATAAGGAACGACCTGATTGTCATGCTTTCCTCTTAGATTCAACACGTTCAGTAACTTTGGTCCAATCTCCTCAGCTACGCATTTGCAGTGAGCCACCTTGTAAATGAACTGTATCAGCTAAGGTATCCTGTAGGGAGAATAATAACAGAAATTCCTCAAGGAGCTGCCTCCAGTGGGAAATTCCAATTGAGAGATTAAAAGCTCTAGGGAGCTTGTGATCCAGAGGACAGAGACTAGGGTGGGTTTTGATGAAAAGTTCTAATAATAACAGCTGATGGTTTTGAATGCCTCAGACAAGCCAGACACCGTGTTCAGCATTTTCAATGCATTTTCTTATATACAGGGAATGAATTACAATCATTCAGATTTTACAGAAAAGAGCAAAGATTGATTGATTGATTGATTTTTAGAGACAGCATCTTGCTCTGTCACCCAGGCTGGAATGCAGTGGCAGTGGCACAATCATAGCTCAATGCAGCCTCAATCTTCTGGACTGAAGTGATCCTCCCACCTCAGCCTCCCAAGTAGCTGTGACTACAGGTGTGAGCCATCACACCCGGATAATGTTTTTAGGTCTCACTATGTTGCCCAGACTGGTCTGGAGCTCCTGGCCTCAAGTGACCCACCCGCCTCGGCCTCACAAAGCACTGGGATTGCAAGCCTGAGCTTCACACCTGGTCTGTTTCTATCTTTTCAGCCAAGAGTCTATTCTCTAACCTGCTGCTAGAGAAATTTTTTTCAAAGGTAAGGTGGTGATTTTGATCATTCCAGATATATACATGTATGGAAGCATCACGTGGTGCCTCATAAACACATAAAATTATTACTTGTCAATCAAAAAAAAAGTTTAAGGCAGACAAAAACTAGAAACCACCCTGGTGTGCATCAACAGGAAAAAAGTTAAACAAACTGGTATATTCATATAAAGAAATGCTACTCCACAATAAAAAAGAAACTATTGATACAAGTTATAGCACAGGTGAATCTCAAATTATGCTGAATGAGAGAAAACTCTACACAAGCCTATGTACTGTATAAATCCACTCATCTAAAGCATTGGAAGAGACAAAACCAACATACCAATATGGCAGAAAAAATCAATAGTGGCAGATTGGAGGAGGGAGGGAGAAGTGATGACAATATTATCTATCTTGATAAGGATTTGGGATGCAGAAGCATGTGCATTTGCAAGTATTTAGAGAGTGATATCCTTAAGATTTGTGCATTTCAATGTGTGTAAATTTTCTCTTACAAAATATGAACAGATATTGAATTCTAGTTAATGATATGCAGACTGAAGTATTTGGGGATAAAGTAACTGATATCCGTAACTTAGTATTTTTGGTTTTGCTTGTGCTTTTGCTTTAGAGACCATGCATGCTGCTAAACCTGTGACTTACTTTGTAATGCACAAAACGAAAGATAAATTGATGGGCCGGGCGCAGTGGCTCACGCCTGTTCCCAGCACTTTGGGAGGCTGAGGCGGGTGGATCACCTGAGATCAGGAGTTCGAGACCAGCCTGACCAACATGGTGAAACCCCATCTCTACTTTAAAAAAATAAATAATTAGCTGGGTGTAGTGGTGCAGGCCTGTAATTCCAGCTACTTGGGAGGCTGAGGCAGAAGAATCGCTTGAAACTGGGAGGTGGAGGTTGCAGTGAGCCAAGATTGCACCATTGCACTCCAGCCTGGGCAACAGGAGTGACACTCTGTCTCAAAAATAATAAATAAATAAATAAATTGATGAATAATTGAGTAGATGTGTGATAAAGCAAATATAATGCAATGTTAAGTATAGAATCCATACAGATGTCATATAATTTTTCAACTTTTCTATATACTTGTAACTTTTTAAAATAAAATCTGGGGGGTGTTAAAGGGATAACTTATTGTTTAAAATAGCAAGAAGTGACATTATTCAGATGCAAAACCAAAGCTCTTAACAGTCCTCAAATTCTTCAGGATCTGGGCCTTCCTCCATCCCCAACTCTCTGGCCTGATTTCATGCCATCATTTGAATGTGTCATTTCCAATGGCGATTGAACCCTCTCAACCATCTTTTTTTTTTTTTTGGAGACAGGGTCTTGCTCTGTTGCCCAGGCTGTAGTGCAGTGGCACCATCACAGGTCACTGCAGCCTCAATCTTCCAGGCTCAAATGATCCTCCCACTTCAGCCTTCCAAGTAGCTGGGATCATATCTGGCTAATTTTTTTTTTTAATTTTTTGTAGAGATGGGGCCTATCTTGCCCAGGCTGGTCTCAAACTTCTGGGCTCAAGCAATTTGCCCACCTTGGCTTCCCAAAGTGCTGGGATTACAGGCATGGATCACTACACCTGAACCTCTCAACCACTTTACTTCCAGCTGTGGCAACTCCTTGCTTTTCTTCAAACACACCAAGCACATTCCAGCCTCAGGGCCCTTGCACTTGCTGTGTCTTCTACCCGGAATACTGTTCCGCCAGAGCCTGATTCCTTAACTTCTTCAGGTCTGTGCTCCAATATCACCTCCTCACTATGTACAGTAGCATTTCCTTTCTCCCATCACTTTATTCCTTTGCTTGCTTTAACTGTCATGTTTTATTTTTTATTTTTTAATTAATTTTTTTTTTGAGATGGAGTCTCACTCTGTCACCCATGCTGGAGGGTAATGGCGCAGTCTTGGCTCACTGCAACCTCCCCTCCTGGGTTCAAGCGATTCTCCTGCCTCCGCCTCCCAAGTAGCTAGGATTACAGGGGCTCATGACCATGCCTAGCTAATTTTTATATTTTTAGTAGAGATGGGGTTTCACCATGTTGGCCAGGCTGGTCTTGAACTCCTGACCTCAGGTAGTCTGCCCACCTCAGCCTCCCAAATTGCTGGGATTACAGGTGTGAGCCACCGCGCCCAGCCAAGTGTCATGTTTGATCACCGGCTGACACAATATTCATTTTGTTTGTTTGTTTGTTTTGTTTTGTTTTTTTGAGACGGAATCTCACTCCATCACCCAGGCTAGAGTGCAGTGGCTCAATCTTGGTTCACGGCAACCTCCGTCCCCCGGGTTCAAGCAATTCTCCCATCTCAGTCTCCCAAGTAGCTGGAACTACAGGCGCCTGCCACCATGCCCAGCTAATTTTTGTATTTTTAGTAGAGATGGGGTTTCACCTTCTTGGTCAGGCTGATCTCGAACTCCTGACCTCAGGTAATCCACCAGCCTCAGCCTCCCAAAGTGCTGGGATTACAGGCGTAAGCCACCACGCCCGGCCAATAGTCATTTGTTTATTGTCTGTCTCCTCTCACTGCAATGCAGGGATTTCACCTTGTTCCCTGTGGAATGCCAGCACCTAGAATGGCCCCTGGAAGACAGTGCACTCAATAAATACTTGTTTCATAAATACAGGGATGAATGGGTATGATGCTGACACTACCAACAGTAAAAGCTAATCTCAACTGAGAACTTGGTAAGTGCCTGGCACCATGCTAAGCGATTTACTTCCATTATCTCATTGAATCCTCCAACAAACCCATTACTATTTTTACAACTAAAAGATTTAGAAAACTTCTACAATTTAGAAAGATTAAGTGGTTTATCCCCAAACAAGTGTCAGAGCTGAGAGAGTCCAACCCAGTTTTGTTTTTGGCCATTCCAGAATCTTTCCACCTTGCTGTAGGGCAGGGAAGATAAATGTGTCAGCTTGTCACCAACATGCCCTAACTGCTGATATAAAGACCCAGATGCCTGTAGACTTGGGGGCATCAGACTCTCAGTCATCAAACTTCCTATGATACTTTGTGTCCCCCGTCCCCCAGACTACAAGGGTTAAATGGGCTGACCAACATTAATGGGCTATCAACTTCTTAATCAGCTCTTCTATTTCGGGGAGGGTGAGGCAGGAGGATTGCTTGAGGCCAGGAGTTCGAGACCAGCCTGGGCAACATAGCAAGACCTCATTTCTCAAAAACTTTTAAAAATTAGCTGGGCATGGTGATACGCACCTCTAGTCCCAGCTACTCGAGAGGCTGAGGTGGAAGGATGGCTTGAGCCAGGGAGTCGGAGGTTGCAGTGAGCCATGATCATGCCACTGCACTCCAGCCTGGGCAATAGAGCAACAGAGCAAGACCCGATCTATTAATAAAAAAGAAGTAAAAGAAGCAAATGCTAGTATTGTGAGGAACACAGTAGACCATGTATATAAAAGGATCTAACACAGTGAACAGGACCCAATAGGCCAGGGGGAATATGATAGTTCCATGTCCACTTCCCCAGCTTGTTTTCACAATGAAATCTTCGGGGTGGGTCGGGAGAGGGTGGTAAGGGATACATGTTGTTTCTTGTTCAAAACAACTTCTCCTTTTATTCAGATGCAAAACCAAAGCTCTTGGGTTGGGTGCTCACATTTGTAAACCCAGCACTTTGGGAGGCCAAGGCGGGAAGATTGGTTGAGCCCAGGAGAATTTTGTTCTTGTTTGTTTCTTGAGTCAAGGTCTGGCTCTGTTGCCCAGGCTGGAGTGCAGTGGTGCGATCTCGGCTCACTTCAACCTCCACCTCCCTGGCTCAAGCCATCCTTGCACCTCAGCCTCCTGAGCAGATGGCATTACAGGCGAGTGCCACCATGCCTAGCTAATTTTTGTATTTTTTTTTTTTTTAGTAGAGACAGGGTTTCTGCCATGTTGCCCAGGCTGGTCTCAAACTCCTGGCCTCAAGCAATCCTCCCACCTAGGCCTCCCAAAGTGCTGGGATTACAGGCATGAGCCGCCACTCCCGGCCAAGCCCAGGAGTTCAAGACCAGCCTGGACAACATATGAGACCCCATCTCTATAAAAACAAAACCAAAGCTCTTAACAGTTTAGTTCAACAGTCCTGCAGGATCTGGGCCTTCCCCCATCCCCAAGTCTATGGCCTCCTCATCTCATGCCATTATTTGAATGTGTCCTTTTCAATGGCAGTTGAATCCTTTCAACCACTCTACCTCCATCCCCTGTGGCCTCCTTGCTCTTCTTCAAACATACCAAGCATAGTCTGGCCTTCAAGGGCACCTTGTCTACTTCAAGGACACCCTGAGACACACTTGGGTAATTCTGACTTTCAGGCAATGTCAATCTAAATAACAAACAGGGACAAGCTCTCTAAAAGAAAAGATGTTTATTTGGGAGTAGAGCATTGCAATGGGAACGTGCATGCCATAGTAAACTATGTGTGCATTCAGAGAGGTAAAGGAAGACAAAGGTTTTTAAAGGACAAAAATGTGGAAGATTACATAATTGTTTTGAAATAATTATCCTTCGCTACAAAGATCAATAACAAGGGTGATGCCGGTCTGAAGTTGGACAGGCAGTTGCTGGGCAGATGTCCTTGCAAAAGTAATTTTTTTGTGTTAAGGTTGCAGTGGCCTTTGTGCAAGGCTGTGGTATTTGCAGTCTTTTGTGATGTTTTTGTTATCAGTCATCCAAGCTGGAGAACCCTCTGCATGTCCTTCCCTGGCTCTATTTGTCAGGGTTTTCTTAATATGAGTGACTCCATTTTGGGTTCTGACAATTTTCACAGCAAACTGGGCTAAGTGCTCTGCATTAGAAACCGATCACAGGCTATGTATTTCTCTCTTTGTCTACACATTACAGATAGGAAAGCTAAAGTTCAGAGAAAATAAGCAACTTGTCCAAGATTACAGTTTTTAAGTTGTAGGCATGGCCTGGTTCTTGTCTTGTTCCTCTCATGGTAGAGAGAGATAAATTCCAACTGAGGAAATCTAGAAAGGGTCCTTGGAGGACGTGATGATTTCCAGAGTCTATCATTGTGGCTTAAATATCTGTTTTCTGTAATACCACACTGGACATCCCACTAGGAGGCTGCAGCCTGAATTCTTTTATTTTTATTTTTTATATTTTTAATACATTTTTCAGATAAAAGAGACAGGGTCTCACTATGTTGCACAGGTTGGTCTGAAACTCCTGGGCTCAAGTGTTCCTCCCACCTCAGCCTCCCAAAGTGCTGGGATTACAGGCATGAGCCACCACACCCAACCAGCAGCCTGACTTCTATAACCCAGAGCTTTGCCACTTCCTTCTGGCTTTGACTTGAGCAAAAGTAGGCATCAGCAAGAGTCCTCTCTTCTGAGCACAAATTAAACCCTCAGTTTCACAAGGAACTCTGCCCAATACCACCTACCCTAATTTTCCTAACATTCCTCTCGCCTAATGTTCTCACATATAAAGAGATTTGAAAAAGACCCTGTTCAAAGACTCTGAGAGCTCCCTTCCACCGGTTGGTTATATCAGACCTACTTTTTGTCACTTGGTTAAAAAAAAGAGGGGGGGTTGGGAGGGACCACAAATACAAAGATATCCTTAGGATGGATGAACCACCATGCTGCCCTTTAAAATATGTATGTTCTGTATATTTAC
Organism: Homo sapiens; assembly: GCF_000001405.40. Classification (NCBI taxonomy): domain Eukaryota; kingdom Metazoa; phylum Chordata; class Mammalia; order Primates; family Hominidae; genus Homo; species Homo sapiens. Next base: position 114,783,662 of record NC_000012.12, on the reverse strand, counting down.
AATTATTTGTTCTGGAGGGATTTCTTCTCTTCCTTCCACATCTCCTAGCTGTGTATACAATAAAAAGGATGGGGCTGGACGTGTAAGACTTTTTTTTTTTTTTTTTTAACTCTGCTGTGTTTATCCACCCAAGCAAGTATTTTAAGTACTTTGTTTCCATTATGCTATTCTGAGCCCATTACTTGGTAGGGTGATTAAAGATTGCTTTTGGCAAGAGAAGAGAAGACAATATGTTTGTTACTTCCATGACTGTTAGCCTTTCCCAGGCAGTCTTCAAAGGGAAAAACATGAACACATGGCATACAAAATACATACTGGCTTCGTAGTGAGAGCCCTGGAGAACGTCTGGCCCTTCACCTTTGCCTGAAATCTGAGCAGCTAGGACAGGAGGCGTGACAAGGGTTCTTTCTAGGGCATCTTGGAGACCGCCCACCTCTCGGGGCTCCTCTGTCTCCCTCCTTGCTTGTGTGTTCATGAATTCTTTCCCTCGGTTGGGGTCTTCTCGGGAACTTCCCTACTTTTCCACCAATATTTGGATGCAGTCATGGACAAGACAGATGAGCTCTCTACTTTCTTTTATTGTTATTATTATTTTGCAAAAAAAATAAATTGTTATTATTATTTTGCAAAAAAAAATAAAGACAGGGGTCTCACTATGTAGCCCAGGCTGGCCTCGAACTCCTGGGCTCTAGCAATCCACCCACCTCGGCCTCCCAAAGTGCTCAGATTACAGGCATGAGCCACCATGCCCGGCCGAGCTCTCTACTTTCACGGAGGTTAAAGTCTGGTGCAGTGCAGAGACATTAATAAAAGAATCACACGCCCGGGCATAGTGGCTCACGTCTGTAATTCCAGCACTTTGGGAGGCTGAGGCGGATGGGTCACCTGAGGTCAGGAGTTCGAGACCAGCCTGGCCAACATGGTAAAACCCCATCTCTACTGAAAATACAAACATTAGCTGGGCATGGTGGCATGTGCCTGTAGTCCCAGCTACTTGGGAGGCTGAGGCAGGAGAAATCATTTGAACCTAGGAAGCGGAGGTTGCAGTGAGCCAAGATAACACCACTGTACTCCAGCCTGGGCAACAGGGAGACTCCGTCTCCAAAAAAAAAAAAAAAAAAAAAAACCAAACCAAAAAAAATGGGAGTGGAGAGAGGAGAGACTATTCAAAGGGAAAGAAGGTGGGGTAACCTAGACCCACAGAACAAGGGCAAGAGTAGCAGGAGATGTAAACAGGGGTCAGAGAGGTCAAGGGAACCTATAGTATACACACATTATAGGTGATAAATATTATTTAGTTAAACTAGGAGTGGAAGGAGGAATCTATTCATTGTGGAATAGAAGCCAATCCCTGCTTTCTTTTCTTTTTTTTTTTTTTTTTGAGATGGAGTCTCCCTCTGTCACCCAGGCTGGAGTGCAGTGGCGCAATCTCGGCTCACTGCAAGCTCCGCCTCCTGGGTTCACGCCATTCTCCTGCCTCAGCCTCCTGAGTAGCTGGGACTACAGGCGCCTGCCACCACACCTGGCTAATTTTTTGTATTTTTAGTAGAGATGGGGTTTCACCGTGTTAACCAGGATGTTCTCGATCTCCTGACCTCGTGATCTGCCCACGTTGGCCTGCTTTCTTATCTTAACAGCTGGGTGGCCTTTGGGCAAGACATTTAACAGCTCTAAACCTCCATTTCCTCATCTGTCAAATGGGAATTTGTAAGTCCCACTTTACAGGATTTGTGGTGCATAGTGGGAGCACATTAAGTGTTAGCTTCCTTCTTTGTTCCCAATTGTCTTTGATGAGTTTGACTTTTCTCTCTCTTTTTTTTTTTTTTTTTTTTAATTTGAGACAGAGTTTTTCTCTTGTTGCCCAGGCTGGAGTGCAATGGCATGATCTCGGCTCACCGCAACCTCTGCCTCCCCGGCTCAAGCGATTCTCCTGCCTCAGCCTCCCTAGTAGCTGGGATTACAGGCGCCCACCACCACACCCGGCTAATTTTTTTGTATTTTTAGTAGAGACGGGGTTTCCCCATGTTAGTCAGGCTGGTCTCAAACTCCTGACCTCAGGTTATGTGCCCGCCTCAGCCTCCCAAAGTGCTGGGATTACAGGCGTGAGCCACCGCGCCCGCCCTGAATTTGACTTTTCTTGTTTCATTTAGCATCTTGGGAGACCCGCAGGAAGCCAAAAATAAACAAATAAATAAAATCCATCACTGTATTTGCTTATATGCTTGCTCGCTTATTTGAATAAATGCCCAAGACCTGTCCCTCTGGCCTGGGGGCCTAATTCCTTGCAAGGTTGTTGTAATCCCTCATCCTCCATCCCTCAGATTGGATGGAGTCTCCTTGAAGTCAAGCAGCTGATCTCTCCCCAGGGTCTTGGGAACATTAGCATCTCCCTGGCCTATCTTCCAGACTATTGTGACAAGCAGATGAGATAAACGGTGTGTAAGGCTCACAAGCCAAAGATTCCCGTTCCCCTCCCTGGGCTGGAAAAAAATCTGCACTGATCTAGACAGAGTGACAAGTTGCACAAATGCATTTTCCCTGGATGCTCTCCTTTCAGTCAAGGGCCCCTTGGATTCAAAATGGCATCTGCAAGTTCAGGCATGTCCAGACTGCTTAAAATGTCTAGGAGTCTTTCTCTTCTGGAGCCAAGTGGGCAACTTCAGAAACTCCACCCACTTACGTGGAGTGAAGGCAGTGACTGGTGCAGCCCACGTGCTTCCTTTGCACCAAGGTCTCTTGAGTGTGGGCGCCATGCTTGGTTGTTTTATATACCTCTCTTTGTTTCATTGTCTCCACAATCCTGTGAGAGAGGGAATGGCCTTCCCATTTTTACAGAGATCAACTGAGGGATTCAGTAACCAGCCTAAAGTCTCCATCTTGACAGGGAAGAACAGAATTCCTGGGTCACTCTTCAATGGTGTCTTGATGACCAGTTAGCTCTCCCGCTTCCTTCCCCGAAATTAGATTACCTGGGTCCCAGGGAAGCACTCTGGAAATTCTCAGGTCTGATGGAGGCCTCAAGGTGGGGTTTCCTGCTTCAAATGCTGGATTTGGATTTCTGGAGACTCCAGGCTAGTTAACTAACATCTGCCTTAACTCCAGCCCTCTTTCCATCACTCTGCTACCCCCACTTTAGTTCTAGAAGGTGTAATGACAATAATCATCATAATTGGCACAATTTATTAAGCACCTGCCAAGCACTAGGCATAGAGCTAAGTAACATGTATTTTCTCATTTAAAGAAGTTAGGAATCCTACAAAATGACTATTATCATCCCCATTCTACAGATGAGAAAACTGAGGCTCAGAAAGTTAAGAAGTCTTCACTCAAGGTTTCAAATAAGTAAATGGCAGAGCCAAATCTAAAATTTGGTCTGGCTGACCCCAGGCTCTCAACCACCTGCTCACTGCCTGGTTTTCTGGTTCTACATTTTTACAAAGGTCTCTGCTCAAAAAGATTGTATCAAACCAAGCACAGTAGTGTGTACCTGTGGCCCCAGCTACTCAGGAGGCTAAGGTGGGAGGATTGCTTGAGCCCAGGAGTTTGAGGCTGAAGTGAGCTATGATCGTGTCACTATACTCCAGCATGGGAGACAGAAAAAGACCCCATCCCTTTAAAAAAAAAAAAAAAAAGGAAAGAGAGGAAGAGTGAAGCAAGCAAGCAAGCAAGACAGAAACAAAGAAAGAGAGAAGGGAGGGAGGGAAAAGAGAGAAGAAAAAGAGAAAAAGAGAAAAAAGAAAGAAAAGGAAAGAAAGGAGAAAGAGAAAGAAAAAGAAAGAGAAAAAGAGAAAGAAAGAAAGGAAGAAAGAAAGAGAAAGAAAGAAAGAAAGAAAGGAAAGAAGGAAGGGAGGGAGGGAAGGAAGGAAGGAAGGAAGGGAGAAAAACTGCACCAAAGTCCAGTAAAATCCTGCCCTTCCAAACTCTGAGGACTAGCCCAGGCTTCTGTGGTTCTTCCACCTCCACCTCAGGGCCTCAGTTTCCCCATTTGTGGAACAGGGAACTGGACCAGATGAGCTCCGAGGTCCAGCTCAAACTCTGCCAACTGCACACCAACATGAAAACAGCCCCTTGTCCTCAGCCCTGTCCCTGACCTGTATCCTTCCTACGATCTTTCTCTCCTCATACGGAAAATGGGTGAGAGCCTCAACAATTCACTGTTTCACTCCCTGACTTCAAAAAGGGAGAGCAAAGTGTTGAAAGTCACAGCTGAGCTCCTTTTGTCCTCACAGTAATGCAGTCTGGGCTTCTCCTTCAGGCTACTCTCATTCTGGGAGCCTAACTTGGCATGTTCCCTCTGGAATTCTCCCTCATTTGACTAGCAGGAGAGTCTAGTTCCCTAAGGTTGGAATCAAGGACATGCCTTGCAGGCATTTAGCCCCACCTTGATGGTGATCTTCAAGAACTATGTCTTTTTTCTAAATCATCCAAATCATCATTATCAACGTTGTCCTTTAAACAAGGACCCCAAATTCTTTACCCAGAGGGCGTCTTCATTTGTGAAGGAATAATTCAGCACAGGTCTTCAGGCCCATATTCACAATTCCAACAGCCCAGAACTCTGGAAAGTGGCAGTTATTTCCATAATGAATTTACTGGCAAAACCTGACCTCCTTTGAACTTACTTTTTAATTAAAAAATAAAAACTGGCCTGTAATTCCAGCACTTTGGGAGGCCGAGGCAGGCAGATCACGAGGTCAGGATCAAGACCATCCTGGCTAACACGATGAAACCCCGTCTCTACTAAAAATACAAAAAATTAGCTGGGCGTAGTGGCGGGAGCCTGTAGTTCCAGCTACTCGGGAGGCTGAGGCAGGAGAATGGCGTGAACCCGGGAGGCGGGGCTTGCAGTGAGCCGAGATCGCGCCACTGCACTCCATCCTGGGCGACACAGCCAGACTCTGTCTCAAAAAATAAATAAATAAATAAAAATAAAAATTGGCCAGGCGCAGTAGCTCACACCTGTAATCCTAACACTTTGGGAGGTCCAAGGCAGATGGATCACTTGAGGTCATGAGTTCAAGACCAGCCTGGGCAACATGGTGAAACCCTGTCTCTACTAAAAATAGAAAACTTCGCCAGGCATAGTGGTGCGCACCTGTAATCCCAGCTACTCGGGAAGCTGAGGCAAAAGAATCGCTTGCATCTGGGAGGTGTATGTTCCAGTGAGCTGAGATTGTGCCACTGCACTCTAGCCTGGGTGACAGAGTGAGACCCTGTCTCAAAAATAAATAAATAAATAAATAAATAAATAAATATGCATATATGTATGACGTACAACAAGATGTTTTAGAAAAGTCTTTTGTTTTGTTTTGTTTGGGGGGTTTTGTTGTTTTGAGACAGGGTCTTGCTCTGTTGCCCAGGCTGGAGCACAGCGGCACCCTCATGGCTCACTGTTGCCTCGACCTCCCAGGCTTAAGTGATCCTCCCGCTTCAGCCTCCCAGGTGGCTGGGACTACAGGCACCTACCACCACATCCAGCATTTTTTTTTTTTAAGAGATGGTATCTGGCTATATTGCCCGGGCTGGTCTCAAACTACTGGGCTAGAGCAGTCCTCCCCCTCAGCCTCCCAAAGTGCTGAGATTACAGGCATGAGCCATTGTGCCCAGCCAGAACCATGTCTTTAAAGCCAGAGAGAGCTAGGTTTGAGTCCCAGTTCTGCCATCACTATCTGCATTTTCTTTGTCCCTATGGAAGACACTTATGGATTCAACACTTATGAAGGTCCTACTATGTGCTGGGAGCTGCGTTATGGGGCACAGTGCTAAACAGAGAAATGGTGTTCCCGCCCTCCTGGAGCCTCCTTCCTCATTGGAAGAGCTGGGAGAGTGGAGGCAGATGGCAGGCAAATTCATAGGAGATTTTCAGAGGTAAATAAGACACAGTAAAGGAAATGGTGAGGGACAGGAACACCTTCTTTGTACGGAGAGGACATCTGAGGAGAGACTTGGTCATGGAGTCCATCCTAGGAAGGGCTCAGGAGAGACCACCAGGCAGAGGGAAGAGCAAAGGTGCCTTCTCCACTTAAAGATCAGAACCAGGTGCTGTGTGGCTGCAGGGGCGTGAACTAGAGGCTTTGTAGGACACAGATCAAAGTTTGGATTTATAATTAAAATTTTAGAAAAATTTAAAAAGAAAAAAAGAAAACGTTTGGATTTTATTTGAATGCCATGTGAGGCCACTGGAGGATTTTAAAAGCTGTTTTCATTTTTTTAATTACAAAAGCAAACTGTTGGAAGAAACTGACAAACGTTCTCCAACACTGGCGATCTAATTTTGCATTCCCACCAGCAGAGTTGGAACATTCCAGTTGCTCCCCATTTTCCTCAACACTTGGAATGACCAGTCTTTAATTTCAGCCATCGCTGTGGTATCACATTATGAGTGGTACCACATTGTGGTTTTAATTTTTATTTTCCTGATGATTCATGATGTAGTTATTTTTTAAGGTGCTTTTTGACTATTCACATAGCTCCTTCTGTGAAGTGTCTTGAAAATCCCTTTGCCTATTTATTTATTTATTCATTCTTAAGATGGAGTCTTGCTCTGTCGTCAGGCTGGAGTGCAGTGGCACAATTTCGGCTCACTGCAACCTCTGCCTCCCGGGTTCAAGTGATTCTCCTGCCTCAGCCTCTGGAGTAGCTAATTTTTCTATTTTTAGTAGAGACAGGGTTTCACCACGTTGACCTGGATGGTCTCGATCTCGACCTCGTGATTTACCCACCTCAGCCTCCCAAAGTGCTGGGATTACAGGCATGAGTCACCGTGCCCGGCCTTATTTATTTATTTTTATTTTATTTTATTTTATTTTTTGAGACAGGATCTCGCTCTGCACCCAGGCTGGAATGCAGTGGTGTGATCTCAGCTCACTGCATCCTTGACCACCTAGACTCGAGTGATTGCCCCACTTCAGCTTCCTGCGTAGCTGGGACCTCAGGTGTACGCCACCACACTCATCTAATTTTTCAGTTTTGTAAAGACAGGGTTTTACCATATTGCCCAGGCTGGTCTCAAAGTCCTGGGCTCAAGCAGTCCTCCCAAGTGAACCATCAGATGTGGTGGCTCACGCCTGTAATCCCAGCCTTGGCCTCCAAAAGAGCTGGATTACAGACATGAGCCACCAGACCCGGCCGCCCACCCCCATTTTTTTTTTTTAAGACAGTCTTGTTCTGTTGCCCAGGCTGGAGTGCAGAGCCATGGGTTCAAGTGATTCCTCTACCTGAGCCTCACAAGTAGCTAGGATGACAGGCATGGGCCATCACACTCAGCCAATTTTTGTATTTTTAGTAGAGATGGGGTTTTGCCATGATGGCCAGGCTGGTCTCGAACTCCTGGGCTCAAGTGATCCACTCACCTGGGCTTCCCAAAGTGCTGGGATTACAGGCGTGAGCCACGGCACCCAGCCAGCCCCCATTTTTTAATTGTGTCATTTATCTTCCGATTAGTCACTTACAGATGTTCTTTTAATATTCTGATACATATCCTCTGTCAAATATGATTTACAAATTATGTCTCCTGGACTATGACTTGCCTTTTCATTTTCTTAACAGGGTCTCTCAAAATACAGAAGTCTTACATCTTGATAAAGTCATTTATTTTTATTTTGTGGTTTATGCTTTTCTTATACCAACTAAGAAATCTTCTCCAGTCCAAGGTCACAAAGATTTTCTAGTGTATTTTCTTCTAGAAGTTTATTGTTTTAGCTCTTAAATTGCTTATATTGGGGTAAAAAGTCAAACACTTACCATACATCTCGGTAATTTCAGTGTTAAATATCTACCCAGGAAAAAAAAAAATCATATGTCCACAAAAAGGCTTACAATTTTTTTTTTTTTTTTTTTTAATTAGAGACAGGGTCTCGGCCAGGTGCAATGGCTCACGCCTGTAATCCCAGCACTTTGGGAAGCCGAGGCAGGCGGATCACGAGGTCAGGAGTTCGAGACCATCCTGGCTAACATGGTGAAACCCCATCTCTACTAAAAGTACAAAAAATTAGCCGGGCATGGTGGTGGGCGCCTGTAGTCCCAGCTACTTGGGAGGCTGAGGCAGGAGAACAGCGTGAACCCAGGAGGTGGAGCTTGCAGTGAGCCGAGATCGCGCCACTGCACTCCAGTCTGGGGGAGAGTACGAGACTCCGTCTCAAAAAAAAAAAAAAAGAGAGAGAGGGTCTCACTCTGCAGTGAGCTGTGATTGCACCACTTCACTCCACACTGCATTACCTAATGTGCAGTGGCGTAATCACAGCTCACAGTAGCCTTGAAATTCTAGGCTCAGGTGATCCTCCCACCTCAGCCTCCCGAGTAGCTGGGACTACCAGCGCACAACAAAAATGAAGTGTTTTCATTTTATGGTAGAGATGGGATCTCGCTATGTTGTTCAGGCTGGCCTCAAGCGATTCTTCTGCCTCGGCCTCCCAAAGTGCTGGGAGTATAGACATGGCCACCAAGACTGGTCAGGACTTAAACTTGTATGCTCCTACCAGCATTATTCATAAGAGGAAAGAAGTGGAAATAAGTGTCCATCCACAGGTCAATGACTATACTGTAGTACTCTCCTATAATGGAGGGCTATGCATCAATAAAAAGCAACCATTGATCTCTGCAACAACATGAAAGCTGAGCTCAAAAACATGATGCTGAACAACACAAAAAATGCCAGATAAAGAGAAGTTTATACTGGGCAATTTCATTTCTATGAAAGGATAGAAATGATTGCACTCATCTACGGTGACGAAAGGCAGATCAATGGTCGCCAGAAGCCTGAGGGAATGGGTGGGTGTGGGCAGGTAGCTGGGGAGCGTGGAGGGGGAATTTTAGGGAGTGAAGAAGAATGTTCTACATCTTGATTGTGTTGGTGGTTACACAACACTATGTTTTGATAAACATTTTATCATCGGGTAGGATTTGATAAGCATTTTATCAAAATTTATTGAACTCTACACTCAAAATTGGTGTGTTTTATTTTATGTAAGTTATATTTCTCCATAAAGTGGAATTAAAAAAATAATAAAACAGATGGTGGGGAAGAATGGGTGCAGGGTGAGGACAGAGAGGAGAGTTAGGCCTCAGGATCATCCGGGTGGAGGACGAGGGGAGGTCGGTCCAGGGAAACAACAGGGAATGGTAATTACTGTTGTTGTTTTTCTGCCTTGTCCTCCCCTTGAGCCAGGAACAGGCTCTCATTTGTAGCTGCACTGACCATTTCCCCCACCCCACAGCCTGCCTTCTTCTCTACTGAGTCATCTCTCAAGGTTATCGTAGGGAACAAAGGCTTTGACTTACGCTGGACATCTCCAAGGGCTGACGCACATGCTCAGGAAACCATGTCACCGACCAAGGTGACGCGGAGAAATCCTGTGATGCCACCCCCAGGCTCCCAAGCCCTCTGTCCTCTCACCCAGCCGCCGTCTCTCCTTTCCAAACTGTCTCCTAGAGCCTAGGTCCAGAGCAGTGAGGATAGCTGATAAAATCTGAGAGCGAGACACCTTCTTAGCGACTGTGTTTGTTTCCCATGGTTGCCAAAAGGAAGTATAGCAAATTCGCAAATCGGGTGACTTAAAACAAGAGAAATGTGTTCTCTTGTGATTCTGGAGTTCAGAAGTCAGAAATCAAGGTGTTCACTGGGTTGGTTTCTTTTTTGAGGCTCTGAGGGAGAATCTGTTCCTTGCTCCCCTCTTGGGTTCTGGTGATTAGTGGCAATCCTTGGAATTCTTCAGCTTTGTAGATGAGAACGACTCCAATCTCTGCCTCTGTCTTCACATGGTGTTCTCTCTGTGTACCTCTGCGTCCATTTCTCTTTTCTTATAAGAATGCTGGTGCCGCACGCTGTGGCTCACGCCTGTAATTCCAGCACTTTGGGAGGCTGAGGTGGGCAGATCACTTGAGGTCAAGAGTTGGATACCAGCCTGGCCAACATGGCGAAACCTGGTCTCTAATACAAACACAAAAATTAGCCAGGTGTGGGCCGGGTGTGGTGGCTCATGCCTGTAATCCCAGCACTTTGGGAGGCCGAGGTGGGCAGATCACGAGGTCAGGGGTTTGAGACCAGCCTGACCAACATGGTGAAACCCCGTCTCTACTAAAAATACAAAAATTAGCTGGGCAGGGTGACAGGCACCTGTAATCCCAGCTACTCAGGAGGCTGAGGCAGGAGAATTGCTTGAACCCGGGAGGCGGAGGTTGCAGTGAGCCGAGATCATACCACTGCACTCCAGCCTGGGTGACAGAGCGAGATTCCGTCTCAAAAAAAAAAAAAAAAAAAAATTAGCCTGGTGTGGTGGCACGCACCTGTAATTCCAGCTATTCGGGAGGCAGAGGCAGGAGAATCACTTGAACCTGGGAGGCAGAGGTTGCAGCGGGCCGAGATCGTGCCACTGCACTCCAGTCTGGGTAACAGAATGAGACTCCAGCTCAAAAAAAAAAAAAAAAAAAAAAAAACAGAAAGAAAGAATGCCATTCATTAGATTAGGAGCCACCCTAATCCAATATGACCTCCTATTGAGCACCTACAGTGTACCACGAACCATGCTGAGATTTGTTCACACATCATCTCATTTAAACCTCACAATGTCTTCAAATAAATGAGAAAACTGAGGTTCAGAGACCTAAGTAACGGGTGCCCCCAAATCCATTCAATCCCCTGAACATCTCCCAATGGTCTGCCTTGATTACGTCTGCAAAGACCGTATTTCCAAATACACATTCACACGTATACAGATTAGGACTTGAACTTTATTGTCTTTTCTAAGGGACAGGGTCTTACTCTGTTGCCCAGGCTGGAGTGCAGTGGCGCTATCAAAGCTCACTGCAGCCTCTACCTCCTCAGCTCAAGTGATCCTCCTGCCTCAGCATCCAGAATAGCTGGGACAACAGGTGCATGCCACCCTGCTTGGCTAATGAAAAAAAAAAAAATTTGTAGAGGCAGGGTCTCACTATGTTGCCCAGGCTGATCTTGAACTCCTGGCATCATGCACTCCTCCCACCTGGGCTGGGCCTCCCAAAGCACTGGGATTACAGGTGTGAGCCACCATGCCTGGCCTTGAACATTTTTTTTTTCTTTTTGAGACAAAATCTCACTCTGTCTCCCAGCCTAGACTGAGGTGGTGCTATCTCAGCTCACTGCAACCTCCATCTCCCAGGTTCAAGAGGTTCTCCTGCCTCAGCCTCCCAAGTAGCTGGGACTACAGGCACCCCTCACCTCGCCCAGCTAATTTTTGTATTTTTAGTAGAGACAGGATTTTATCACGTTGGCCAGGCTAGTCTCAAACTCCTGACTTCAAGTGATCCGCCCACCTCGGCCTCCCAAAGTGCTGGGATTACAGGCATGAGCCACTGCGCCCGGTCTGAACGTATTTTTTTGAGAGATACAACTGAACACAGTACAGAGACCTTATTTTCCTCTGACCAAAAGGAAGCCCCCAGGGGTCCAGCTGGCTGGAGAATAGGAAGGGAGGAAAGAACACTGACCTCAAAATCACAAAGGTGCAGAGTTCAAATCTTGGTTCTGCCACTAATTTGCTGCTTGGTGCTGGTCATTTCACTGCCCCTCTCTGGACCTCAGTTTTACCATTTGTTAAATAAATCTTTTATGGCTGGGTGCAGTGGCTCACGCCTATAATCCCAGCACTTTGGGAGGCCAAGGAGGGTGGATCACCAGAGGTCAGGAGTTCGAGACCAGCCTGGCCAACATGGTGAAACCCCGTCTCTACTAAAAATACAAAAATTAGCTGGGCATGGTGGCACATGTCTATAATCCCAGCTACTCGGGAGGCTGAGGCAGAAGAATCACTTGAACCCAGGAGGCGGAAGTTGCAGTGAGCCGAGATCGTACCACTGCACTCCAGCCTGGGAGACAGAGCGAGACTCCATCTCGAAAAAATAAATTTTAAAAAATGATAAAATAAAATAAATAAATCTTTTATCCCCTGGATGGAATTGCTGCACCTAAAATTAACAATGAAGAAGAAGGAGAAGGAGGAGGAGGAGGAGAAGAAGGAGAAGGAGAAGGAGGAGAAGGCAAGCACGGTAGCTCATGCCTGTAATCCCAGCACTTTCAGAGGCTGACGCAAGGGGGTTTGCTTGAGGCCAAGACTTCAAGTCCAGACTGGGCAACATAGTGAGACTCCATCTCTATTAAAAAAAAAAAAAAAGAAAAAAAGGAAAATGAAATTACTGAACTTTTAAGACGTAATGGATGTGGTTAGCATTTATTGAGCACCTACAGTGTACCAGGAACCATGCTGAGACTTTACACACATCATCTCATTTAAACCTCACAATAACTTCAAACAAATGAGGAAACTGAGGCTCAGAGACCTAAGTAATGGGTGCCCCCACATCCATTCAATCCCCTGAACATCTCTCAGTGATCTGCCTTTCTGTGCTCCATGGCATAGTATAAGTGTCATCATTTCTTGCTTGGATTCTAAAAAGGGCTTCCTTAGTTTTTCCCCTACCCAAATCTATCTCTTAAGCCAGAACGACTTTTTGCTAATAAAACTCTCTTTCATAAAGTTCTTCAGTGGCTCCCCATGACCCTCAAAATTAAGCTGGAATTCACAAGAAGGCTCTTCAGGCCCTACATGATCTAAGCCCAGCCAGACTCCATCCTCATCTCACCCTGCTCCCTTCTCCAGGTTAATACTTAATTCATCCTTCAAAATTTAGCTTAGATAGCCAGGTGCGGTGGCTCATGCTTGTAATCCCAGCACTTTGGGAGGCCGAGATGGGAGGATCACTTGAGGCCAGGAGTTCGAGACTAGCCTGGCCAACATGGTAAAACCCCATGTCTACTAAAAATACAAAAATTAGCCAGACGTGGTGGCGGGTGTCTGTAATCCCAGCTACTTGGGAGGCTGAGGCAAGAGAATCCCTTGAACTCAGATAGTGGAGGTTGCAGTAATCCGAGATTGCACCACTGCACTCCAGCCTGAGTGACAGAGTGAGACTGTCTCAAAAAAAAAAAAAAAGAAAAAAATCAGCTTAGATACCACTTCCACCAGGAAGTCTTCCTTGCCTGCCCCTCAGGTGTAAGTCGGGTCCACCTACTCAGTACTCCAAGAACACTCTGTTATCATAGCACTCAGCACAGTGTGGTTTTGTTGCCTGTTAAGTTGTCTCTCTCCCCCAGATGGCAGTGGGTATGCACAGAGCTTCACACATTGTGTCTCGTATTTACCAAATGCCCTGAGCCATTTATCACAAGTACATGGAGAAAGCTAGGACTGAAAGCCATTGCTCACTGACTCCAGGGACTGTGTTCTGTCTACTGTTCCACACGGGTGTTGCTGGAAACACAAGAATCTGTCTAGACTAGCAGGCCCCAGAGGGGCTAGGCCCAAGTGTACAAGGGCTTGGAATGGCAAACACATGCTTCCACTTTCCAAACCCACATCCATGGCAGACATTACTAATGGACCACCACATTTCTTCTCATTGATCCCAGGCTTAACACAGGGCCCCAGCCAGTCTCCATCAGTTGACTCAAACTTACAAGTAAGGAGCCAGGCAGGGTGGTACATGCTTATAATCCCAACTAGCTACTTGGGAGGCTGAGGCAGGATGATCACTTGAGCCCAGGAGTTTGAGACCAGCCTGGGCAACAGAGTGAGACCCCGTCACTACAAAATTAAAAATTTTTTAAATTAGCCAGGCAAATTGTTGTTGTTTTTAAATTATAGACAGGGCCTCAGCTTGCACCTGACATGAAATCTGTTTACCATTGTTATCTATTGCCCAATGACCCTGTTTTGTGGACCAGAAAAAATGAAGCTCTGTCTTTCCCAATATCACGTGCAAGTTCATGTGAAAGCAGAGACAGGCCCTCTCCACTCCCAGTTTGGTGTAATTTCACCGCCCCTCCTGGCATCTGGAGACAAGCTTCTTACGCTGTGTGGTCAGCCTACCCTCAGGACATCTAGAGAAAGAAGCTTTCTTGTGAAACTGGGCCAGTAGACTCATAGAAGACTCTAAGGACAAGAACACCTTCTAGAATGACGCAGGGGACTTCCTTAAGTTTCCTGGAGGCAAGCCAGGCATGGAGGCTCATGCCTGTAATCCCCAAACTTTGAGAGGCTGAGGTGAGAGGATCATCTGAGGTTAGGAGGTTGAGACCAGCCTTGGCAACATAGCAAGACCCCATCCTACAAAAAATAAAAAATTAGTCAAAAGTGGTGGGTGACCCTGTAGTTCCAGCTACTCAAGAGGCTGGGATGGGAAGGTCACTTGAGCCCGGGAGGTGGAGAGACCCTGAATCTAAAAATAAATGAATAAATCAATAAATACAATTTTAAAATTAAAATTGGCTAGGTATGGTGTCTCACTCCTATAATCCCAGCACTTTGGGAGGCCAAGGCGGGAGGGTACCTGAGGTCAGGAGTTCAAGACCAGCCTGGCCAATATGGTAAAACCCTGTCTCTACTAAAAATACAAAAATTAGCTGGGTGTGGTGGCCCATGCCTGTGATCCCAGCTACTCAGGAGGCTGAGGCAAGAGAATCGCTTGAACCCAGGAGGCGGAGGCTACAATGAGCCGAAATCATGCCACTGCACTCCAGCCTGGGCAACAGAGTGAGACCCTGTCTCAAAAAAAAAAAATCCTTTAAACTAAGAAACCAACATTGGTTCATTACTCTGAACTAAACTCTAGATCTTCTTCAGATTTCATCCATTTTTCTGGCCCAGGATCCCATCCGGAGTACTATGTTGCCTTGAGCACATTCTCTTTTTGATAAATACAGTTCCTGGATTACTCCCTTTCTCCTGCCATGTAATTCCTTCTCTCACTCAGAAATGAATTTGTCTGTTGTTTTGCTTTGGTCTGGCTCATCCCCTCTCCCCCATTTTACAAATTATAGTTTAGGGAAAAGTTTCACCTGATTCTATCTAATATTGTCAGCAGCCCTTGTCCACCACATTCATTTTTCCTCTTTCTGTTTTAAAATCTAGTTCACATCATCAAAATGGCCACTAGCACTTCCTGAAAAACTTGGCAACACATTTTACTGTATTTCAAAAAAAAAAAAAAGTTCTGCTTTTTTTTCCCCCGTCCCCCCACCCCAAACTTCGTTTGTTCTTTTATGACTAAGGATATTTATCTCCTGCTTGCTTTAGAAGTTTATGAGCTGCTTTTGCTTTGAATTCCAGGCCAAGGTCAGTCCTCCTTTTGTCATGATGTCACGGCCTGTTGCCGTGGTTACCCCTGTGACATCATCAGACCAATCTGGGGGCCTGCTGGGGCAGGGGGGAGAGGGGCTTTGAAACCGCTCCTTTCATCTGTCTTTGGTGAGGGCGGTGTTGCTGCTTTTTGTAAAAGTTTTTGAGAATGGCGAGACACTAAAGGGAAGAGTTAATAAGATTTACTACCCCCCAAAATGCCGCAGACCCCTAAAAGTCAGGCCACAATCAAAGGCTGCAGGCTTCTGAAGGGAAAAAGGCTAAAGGAATAAACGCATTTCCAAAAACCAGAACTCTGTATCTGTAAAAAGACCACCAGTATGCCACAAGGAGAAACACGCACGCCTGCACGCACACAGGCACACACACACACAATTGGCCCTCTCAACCAAATTGCCTCTAGATGGAATGTATTTCACGAGGTGTCCCTTGGTCTTTAATCTAATCTAATCTGTCTCTCCCTCAGCATAAAAGCAAAAGTAAAGAATCACAAACCAGGAATGCTTGGTTTGAAAGGCTTTTTAATAAAAGGAGAAAAGAAAAAGAACAAAAGCCGAGTGAACACTCAACAGACAGTTTTCATGTCACTAAAACAGCATCTTGAAAAATGTTAATCTTTTTTTTTTTCTTTTCCTTAGGGTCAGGGGAAGGGAAAAAAATGTGTTTTTATGGTGAACATGTGTCAAGAGGACTCCATCCCATAAACTCGGTGCCCACAATAAGTATATTTGTGTAGTAATTAATGTGAGATCAGAGACACAAGTTTTGCCAAAAGGCCATTGTCAGTATGGGGTACATTATTTAGGTCAAGAATCCAGTTTTCCAAATGTGGTATACATTGTGCTCGCTGTAATTAAGCGTTTTGTCATCTAACGACAAAGCGAGCAAGAGTGACTCCCAGACGGATTATACCTAAAACACAGTTTCCAAATGTTTCTTCTTGGCAAATCTTTTAAGGAAATTCTATGCAGAAGGAATGTCAAGACATCTGTAATTAGATCTGGGAGAAAAGGGTGGAAGGAAGATTACTGGGCTATTTTTTTTATTTTGTCTCTCAAAGAGACCCCCTGTAATTCCACGTCCTGGCTGTCAAGAGCCTTATCCATCACGGGTTCCTGGGTCATCTGTCTTTGCATTCACTTTCTTGCCGAGGTCTCCAGTAACACCCTTGCAATGCCAATTCTCCTCCAAGAAGTTTACTGCAAGCCGCTGTGAAGACAGAACGGACAGCGTCCAAAGTGCCTTGGGCCAGGCCCGTTCTTCGAACTCGGTAGATTTTGTTTCTGAAGGTTTCTGCTTTGTCATGCGCCTGGAGGTCTTATTAAGAAAGTAGAGGCCAGGCGCGGTGGCTCACGCCTGTAATCCCAGAACTTTGGGAGGCTGAGACGGGGGGATCATGATGTCAGGAAATCTAGACCATCCTGGCCAACATGGTGAAACCTCGTCTCTACTAAAAATACACAAATTAGCTGGGCGTGGTGGTGCGTGCCTGTAACCCCAGCTACTCGGGAGGCTGAGGCAGGAGAATCAATTGAACCAGGGAGTCGGAGGTTGCAGCGAGCCAAGATCACACCACTGCACTCCAGCCTGGTGACAGAGGGAGACTCTGTCTCAAAAAAAAAAAAAAAAAAAAATGCCGGGCGCAGTGGCTCACGCCTGTAATCCCAGCACTTTGGGAGGCGGGCGGATCACGAGGTCAGGAGATCGAGACCATCTTGGCTAACAGGGTGAAACCCCGCCTCTACTAAAAATACAAAAAATTAGCTGGGGATGGTGGCGGGCGCCTGTAGTCCCTGCTACTAGGGAGGCTGAGGCAGGAGAATGGCTGAACCCAGGAGGCGGAGCTTGCGGTGAGCTGAGATCATGCCACTGCACTCCAGCCTGGGCAACAGAGCGAGAGTCTGTCTCAAAAAAAAAAAAGAAAAAGAAAAAGAAAAGAAAGCAGAATGGAGTGCAGTTTGTAGGTCCCAGGGCTGCAATTTGGAAGACATTCATATTGCAAGGGAAATTGAAGAGGGAGCTAAAAGGATCCTTCCAGCACTGTGCATTTCAACTTTTTGGAGGGGCCGCAGCAGTAGGGGGGTGCATATTGGGGTGCATAGCCCCATCTGGGTCTGATGTTGGATGTTGGTTTGCATCTGTTTCTAGTTTTGTATGTTGGTATGGGTCTGCTTGTGCATGAATATGCTCCTGTACGCCTGTGGGTCTTTTGCATGTGTTTGCAAGCGTGTGATGCCTCGCTGTGCATGGGTCTGGGGGGGGGGGGTGCTGTCTCTGAGCATATTGCTGTGTGTGTTTCAAAGGCCGCTATGTGCTTGCCACACGCTCGGGGGCATTTATAACTTTATGTATGTGCATGAAAGAGCAACTGGGAAATATACTGCATTCATTATACTTTATACTCCCTTTTCCAACCAACAGGCTATCTGCAGACCTCTCAGCTCCTCATCACCCAAATACGATCTTAGGGGGTTCACAAAATAAAACAGGTCATAAATCTCAAGACTGGCTAGAACCTGGGGAGTTTTAGACAGAGAGAGGAGGGGGAAGGGCGGCAGGAGGGAAGTGGGTAAGAAGGGGTATTTTGATGAGGAATCTCTGCCCCTTCATGAAGCACTTCTCCGTGATGCCAACTTAGAGGCAATTTGCTCTTAGTACTAGGTGGGATCAGTCCAAGCGTTTGGGGATTTCTCCTCTCACTCGACCCCCTCCTCTTCTCCGTGCTAACAGCCAAGAACAGATGTGCCCCACTTTAATAATGCTGACCAGCTGGGGAGGCTGCAGCAAATGTCCACAGTTTTTTCCCCAAATGCTGATGTCTAAGGAGGCCTCTGGGATGAAGACAGGGGTCTCTCAGGCACATTTTGGGATCCTCCTGCTTCCAGAACCTTCCTCAGGTTTCCCTGAAAGAGGACACTAAAGAAAATATGGAATGCCTATAGTCTGTGCTTTTGGTATCCATGTGGCTGCATTGGTGTCCATTATGACCCAAGATGCTACAAGTGTAATATTCTGGGGTCCTCTGGACTGAGATGGGACCAGCATGCGTGAATAGGATTCAGGACAGAGCCGCGAAGCCACGCTTTCCATTAATTAATTAATTAATTAATTTTTAAAGGCAGGATCTTGCTTGTTGCCCAGGCTGGAGTGCAGTGGCACGATCATAGCTCACTGCAGCCTTGAACTCCTGGGCTCAAGTGATTCTCCCACCTCAGCTTCCTGAGTAGCTAGGACTACAGATGCACTCCACCATACTTGGCTAATTTTTTTTTTTTAAGTAGAGACGGAGGTCTCACTATGTTGCCCAGGCTGGTCTCAAACTACTAGGCTCAAGCCATCTTTCTGCCTCGGCCTCTCAGTGCTGGGATTACACATGTGAGCTACTGGGCTGACTCACTTTCCCTTTATTTTTATTTTTATTTTTTTTTAATAGAGAGACAGGGTCTCATCTCACTATGTTGCCCAAGCTGGTCTCGAATTTCTGAGCTGGAGTTCTCCCACCTCAGCCTCCCAAAGTGCTAGGATTACAGGCATGAGCCACCACACCCAGCCCCATTTTCCTTTTAAATGGCTGAAAAGAGGCAAGCTCTGATTGTCGCCCACGTAGATTATTTTTTCCCCTCCAGAAGATGAAAAGGGCCATTTGTTTGTAGAAGTCTCAACCTGGCATATTGGTCCATTTCATGTGTCAGTTTGCAGTTTTCTCTCCTCTGAAGGGCTGCTTGGGGAACACAAAGGCAGGAAATTCGATTCTACACAGGCCCCGTGACATCTCTGTTTGAGGGTGTGTGTGTGTGTGAGTGAGTGTGTGTTTGTATGGCGGCTGACAACGTGTTCTCTTCAATCAGATCATTGCTTCATGGTCTTATTGTCCCTGCAGCTTTAGAAACAGCTGGGGGGATTCTGTAAGAATCATTTGAATAAAACTTCTCATAAACTGTCCACTACAGAGTTTGGGAAGATAAACCTGTACTGTTAGGATTTTTTTTTTTTAAGACAGTCTGTGCTGATTTTCCAAATGTATTTCTTTAATATATGTGCTCCTCTCAGCACATATATTCCTTTTTTTTTTTTTTTTTTTTTTTTTTTTTTTGTAGAGACAGAGTCTCGCTCTGTCACCCAGGCTGGAGTGCAGTGGTGAGATCTCGACTCACTGCAACGCCTGCCTACCGAGTTCAAACAATTCTCCTGCCTCAGCCTCCCAAGTAGTTGGGAACACAGACATGCACCACCACACCTGGCTAGTTTTTTTGTATTTTTAGTAGAGAGGGGGATTTGCCATGTTGGTCAGGCTGGTCTCAAACTCCTAACCTCAAGAGATCCGCCCGCCTTGGCCTCCAAAAGTGCTAGAATTACAGGTGTGAGCCACTGCGCTAGCTTCAGCACACATCTGCTTCTAATTCAGGTGCAACATACACAGAAAACTACACACATAACATATGCATACCTAGCATTCAGATTAAAAAGAAACAGACATCCCCAGAAGTCCCCACAGTGTCTCCTTCCAGTCAATATGCACTAGGATAAAGCAACCACTCTCCTGACATCTAACAGAATCGATTAGCTCTGCATATTTTTGTGCTTTTCATCAACAGAACCACACAACATCACACTTGAGTAGCTGGCTTCTTTCCTTCAAAATTAAGTGTGTGAGGCCCGGCATGGTGGCTCACACCTGTAATCCCAGCACTTTGGGAGGCTGAGGTGGGTGGATCACCTGAGGTCAGGAGTTCAAGACCAGCCCAGCCAACATGGTGAAACCCCATCTCGACTAAAAATATAAAAAAATTAGCCGGGTATGGTGGCAGGCACCTGTAATCCCAGCTACTTGGGAGGCTGAGGTAGAAGAATTGCTTGAACCCGGGAGGCAGAGGTTGCTGTGAGTCGAGATTGCCCCACTGTACTCCAGCCTGGGTGACAGAGCTAGACTGCCTCAAAAAAAAAAAAAAAAAAAAAAAAGTAAAAAATGGGCTGATTCAGTAGTATCTCGTTATTACCAAAAGTATCTCATCAATACTGAAAAAAAAAAATTAAGCACGTGAGATTCACCACATTGCTCTATGTATTTGTAGATCGATGACTTTTCAACTGGGATTCATTGTGTGCGTCAGGGGATGTTAGACAACGTCTGGAGACATTTTTGGTTGTCACAACTGGGGGTGCATCTAGTGGATGCAGACCAAAAATGCTGCACAACATCTTACAAGGCCCAGGACAGCCTCCCTCCCCGCCGCCCCCCGCCACACACAAATTACCCAGCCCCAAATTTTAATAATGCAGAGATAAAAAATTCCAGTTTGGATCCATCATTGTCCTGGCTGTGCTTTGATTCCTCTGAAACACCATTTTTAATACTTCCTGGATGCCTAGGCAGGCACAGTGGAGTTAGCCTGAACTTCAAGTTCAAAGCTTCAGCTCAGAGGCAAGTTTACTGACCTCTAGTTTTATCCCCGAGGTGGGGGCAGGGAGGGTGGAAGGGTATTGGGATTGGATGGGAAGATGGAAGGGAGCAAAGGAGGGTCTTTCCCTAATGGTTTCTTAATCTCGTCTGGTGATGAATTTGACCTTAGAAGGACGTTGCAAGCCACATCTGCCTCTCTGGCAAGCAGGGGAAGGAAATGACAGAAAAGTTCTTACAGAGCCACACCGATGTACACAGACATAAACAGACAACCGCACAAGTCCAAACAGACACCCCCCACAGCTCTGAACACACACATACACACGCACGCACACACGCACGCGCACACACACACACGCACGCACACACACACGCACGCACATACATACTCACCAGCCAACACCCGGCCACACAGCAGGCCCCAGAGACACACGCTAGAGGAGAAAAGAAACACCAACACTGTCCTTAAAGGGGCCTCTCTCCACATCCAGCTATTTAAAGAAATAGTTAAGCCGGCCAAGTTCAAGGAAACCCAGCCAGCGCAATGACCACGTCTGTCTTGTTCTGTCTTGTCGTATAACGCTTGGGCCTTGTCGTATAACACTTGGGCCTAAACTCAGGGTTTCTCCACCTCAGCACTCTTGATATTTCCAACTGGGTAATTCTTTGTTATAGGAGCCGGCCTGTGCATTGCAATATATTTAACAGTATCTTTGACCTCTACAAACTAGATGCACCCCAAGTTGTGTCAACCAAAATTGTCTCTAGATATTGCACAATGTCACCTGGGGACATCACCCCTAGTTGAGAACTACTGACCTAGCACTGCAGTGGGCTTATAGAAGCATCCTCCAAATGAATTTTTTTTTTTTTTTTTTTGACAGAGTCTTGCTCTGTTACCCAGGCTGGAGTGGAGTGGCACGATCATGGCTCACTGCAGTCTTGACCTCCCAGGCTCAAGCAATCCTCCCACCTCAGCCTCCCTAGTGGCTAGGACCACAGGCCTGTGACGCCACGCCTGGCTAATTTTTTAAAGTTTTTGTAGAATTGGGGTCTCACTATGTTGCCCAGGCTGGTCTTGAACTCCTGGGGCCAAGGAATTCATCCTCCTCAGCCTCCCAAAGTGCTGGGATTACAAATGTGAGCCACCATCCGTAATCCCAGCCCCACATGAAATATGTGTTGATTCAATCAATGAGCCACTCTCATTCCTTCTTGAAAATAAATGGGGACCAGCTACAGTGGCTCACGCCTTTGGGAGCACTTTGGGAGGCCGAGGCAGGTGGATCACCTGAGCCCAGGAGTTCGAGAACAGCCTGGCTAACGTGGTGAAACCCTGTCTCTACTAAAATACAAAAATTAGCCAGGCATGGGGGCGGATGCCTGTAATCCCAGCTACTCAGGAGGCTGAGGCAGGAGAATCGCTTGAACCCAGGAGGTGGAGGTTGCAGTGAGCCAAGATGGTGCCACTGCACTCCAGCCTGGGTGACAGAGCCAAACTCCATCTCAAAAAAAAAGAAATGGGCTCCTAAGAAGAGTCAGCTGATCTCTCCTCTTCAGCATCGACATACATCAAGAGTTAAAAAGAAAACAAAGTCGGGCACGGTGGCTCACGCCTGTAATTCTAACACTTTGGGAGGCAGAGGCTGGCGGATCACTTGAGATCAGGAGTTTGAGACCAGACTGGCCAAAATGGTGAAACCCCATCTCTACTAAAAATACAAAAAAAATTGGGCAGAGTGGCACACGCCTGTAGTCCCAGCTATTCAGGAGGCTGAGATAGAAAAATTGCTTGAACTCAGGAGGCAGAGAGTGCATTGAGCCAAGATCATGCCATTGCACTCCAGCCTGGGCAACAAGAGTGAAACTCCATCTCAAAAAAAAAACAAAACAAAACAAAAACAAAAAAAACAAGGCCAGACGTGGTGGCTCACAGCCGTAATCCCAGCACTTTGGGAGTCTGAAGCGGGGAGATCACCTGAGGTCAGGAGTTCGAGACCAGCCTGACCAACATGGAGAAAACCCCGTCTCTACTAAAAACACACAAAAAATAGCCGAGCATGGTGGCGGGCACCTGTAATCCCAGCTACTCAGGAGGATAAGGCAGAAGAATCGCTTAAATCCAGGAGGTGGAGGTTGCGGTGAGCTGAGATCGCGCCGTTGCACTCCAGCCTGGGCAACAAGAACGAAACTCCATCTCAAAAAAAAAAAAAAAAAAAAAAAAAAAAAAAAAAATTGGAGATAGGTCCTAGGCTTCTTCCTCTACCTGGAATCCCAGCCTCTGAGACTAAGGCTTATGCTGGATTCTGCCTGGGTGGGGGCCATCTCTGCCATCAATGACGACTCTTGAAGAAGCAGCCCCCAGAGAGATGCCTACGCCACATGTGCTCTGTCATTTGATTGACGGACATGAATGCACTTTTCCGGACGCTGATTGGGTTTTAATTGTGTTTGGAACATTGTGCTCCCCACGCACCAGCTGAATTTGCTTCTGCATTCAGAAATGTTTTCACCTTCTCTTTTCTCTGGTGTGTCTGCCATGCTGCAGTTGGTGGCAGTGAGAAGGGCGATTGGGACCAGACAGTGCATCTGTGGAATTTTCCACACATTAGCCAAACCGGATCTGGAGCTTTCTTTGTTTTTACCCCTCTCCCCCGAGGACATATGAGTCTGGAAACAGGCTGGGAAGTGGGACTTCTGGCAGACTTAGCTGTAGGCTTAGGTGTCTACTGTCTGCATGTGGGAGGTAGGTCAGCCTTCTACCATCATCTCCAGCAACTGAAGGTCATACAGTCATTCAGCAAACATCCTCCAAATGACAGAGCATATCAGGCACTGAGGTTACAGAGATAATATACCTGTTTCTGGCTTTCACGTAGCAAGAGAAAGACTACAACAGCTCATTCAAGCATTTATTTTCAGGTAGTCTTCTGTACACTTTATAAATACTCACCCAATGAATCATAAAAATAACCCTATAAAATAGGTTTTGTTTTTTTTTTTTTCTTTTTTGTTGAGACAGAGTCTCACTCTATTACCCACTCTGGAGTACAGTGCTGCGATCTCGGCTCGCTGCAACCTCCACCTTGCGGGTTCAAGTGATTCTCCTGCCTCAGCCTTCCAAGTAGCTGGGACTACAGGCGAGCGCCACAATGCCCAGCTAATTTTTGTATTTTTTTGTAGAGACAGGATCTTACCATCTTGGCCAGGCTGCCCTCAAACTCCTGACCTCAAGTGATCCACCCGCCTCGCCCTCCCAAAGTGCTAGAATTACAGGCGTGAGTCACCACGCCCAGCTAGGAGTATTTTTTAACAGCTTTATTGAGAAATAGATATACAAAGAATGGGATATATTTATTTATTTTATTATTATTATTTTTTAAAATAGAGATAAGTTCTCACTATTTTGCCCAGGCTAGTCTTGAATTCCTGTGCTTAAATGATCCTCCTGTCTCGGCCTCCTAAAGTGCTAGGATTACAGGCGTGAGCTACTGCGCCTGTATATATCCAAAACTGGATATATTTAACGTGTGTAAGTTTGATGAGTTCAAATGTGTGTGGACACCCGTGCTACCACCATCACATTCAAAGTAATAGACATATCCAACACCTTCCTAAGTGTCCTGTGTGCTTTTGTTTTTGTTATTGTTTTTTGTTTGCTTTTCCTGTGATAAGAACATTTAACATGAGATCTACCCTCCTATCATATTTTGAAGTTCACAATACTGTATTAACTATAGCACAATGTTGTACAGAAGAGCTCTGGATCTTACTCATCTTGCATGACTGAAACTTTATATCCACTGAACAACACCTCTCCATTTTCCCCACCCCCAGCTCCTGGCAGCCACTTTGCTTGTTTATTTGTTTGTTTGTTTGTTTTTGTAAGATATAGGATCTCACTTTGTTGCCCAGGCTGGAGTGCAGTGGTGCAAACATGACTCACTGCAGCCCCAACCTCCTGGGTTCAAGCGTTCCTCCCACCTACGCCTCCCAAGTAGCTTAGGGACCACCAGTTAAATTTTTTTATTTTTTCTTTTTTGTAGAGATGGTCTCTCCCTGTGTTGCCCAGGCTGGTCTCAGGCTCCTGGGCTGAAGCGATCCTCCTGCCTTGGCCTCTCGAAGTGCTAGGATTACAGCTGTGAGCCACCACGCCTAGCCAAAAACTTCATTCTTTTTCTTCATCACCTTTTTATATTTTTTTCTGTATGATCAATGTTACTTTTTTTCCAGTTTTATTTGACAAACACTGGGAGAATAGGTTTCTCTGTTTCCATCCTGTCTAGACCATGGACTCATTTTGGTAAATCATGAAACAATCATCATGAATCTAGATCTGGCTCTAAGCTTCAGGTTCACAGCACACCCGACCACAGACTCTCTCCACATAGCTTTAGACCTCACCCTAGAGCACGGACTTTGCGGCTATAAGGCAGAGAAAACTCCCCTAAGACAAAACTGGAGCATGGGCCAGGCACGGTGGCTCACGCCTATAATTCCAGCACTTTGGGAGGCTGAGGCGGGAGGATCACTTGAGATTAGGAGTTCAAGACCAGCCTCACCAACGTGGTGAAACCCTATCTATACTAAAAAAAAAATCCACAAAATTAGCCGGGTGTGGTGGCACATGTCTGTAATCCCAGCTACTTGGGAGGCTGAGGCAGAAGAATTGTTTGAATCTGGGCGGTGGAGGTTGCAGTGAGTTGAGATCGCACCATTGCACTCCAGCCTGTGCAACAAGAGCGAAACTCTGCCTTAAAACAAACGAACAAACAAACAAAACAAAACAAAAAAACTGGAGCATGGTTCAACTCAAAAGCATCCCATGATTCTAGTTACAAAGCAGCGTTCTCAAGGGTGCAAGTTCTAATGCTACAGAATGTTTCTTCTTGGTAAACATTTCTGGAATCAAGATTTAACCACTGGCCACCGAAGAAATGCCCCCTGGAAGAATCTGACTCAGTCCGTCATTTGCCAGCCCTGCATCTATTATGACCTGTGCAATAACAAGGGTTTACAAAGATGCCCCACTGCCCTCCCTTTATTTGGGTTAAATGGACATAAATTGTGAAGGCCTCTCTGCTGGAGACTGGGAATTCACAGAAGGAATTCCTAGTCCCTGCACTGTGGAGCTCAGCACTGACTCCATTTGCAAATAAACAAGTCCTTCCAATTTTCTAGCACTTTACAAAGTAGGAAGCATCTGCCAGACAGAGGCAAGAGTTGAACAAGAAGCCAAGTCTAGCATGAAGGAGTCCAAATGTATCTCCTAAACCAAGAGGCCAGACCACACAATAAGAAAAGTTAGGGGCCGGGGGCAATGGCTCATGCCTGTAATTCCAGAACTTTGGGATGCTGAGGCAGGTGGATCTCCTGAGGTCAGGAGTTTGAGACCAGCCTGGCCAACATGGTGAAACCCTGTCCCTACTAAAAGTACAAAAATTATCCAGGTGTGGTGTCACACACCTGTAATCACAGCTACTCAGGTGGCTGAGGCATGAGAATCGCTTGAACCTAGGAGGCGGAGGTTGCAGTGAGCTGAGATCACACCATTGCACTCCAGCCTGGGTGACACAGTGAGATTCTGACTCAAAAAAAAAAAAAAAAAAAAAAAAGTTAGGAGCAGGGATTGGAGACATAAGAGACCGGTGAGATCTGGGAAGTTAGAGTCATAGGTGAAGGCAATGCCCAGAACAGGCCTAGCTGTAATGAGAATGTTTTGGATGCTATGCCTAAACCACTGCTTAGCTGATGCAACACCCAGTCCCAGCATCCCTCTCCCTTCCTGCCGCCTACCATGAGTCTAAAAAATGAAAGATTCACCTTCCTGGCCTCTTGGCAGTTACAGTTGACCATGTTGCAGAGTTTGAGCTAATAAAATAAAGTCTTGCTCCATCGCCCAGGCTGGAGTGCAGTGGTATGATCTCGGCTCACTGCAACCTCCACCTCCCGTGTTCAAGTGACCCTCCCATCTCAACCTCCTGAGTAGCTGGGATTACAGGCACTCGCCATCATACCCAGCTAATTTTTTGTATTTTTTGTTTTTTAAATACAGACGGGGTTTTGCCATGTTGGCCAGACTGGTCTTGAACTTCTGACCTCAAGTGATCTGCCCTCCTCAGCCTCCCAAAGCTCTGGGATTACAGACATGAGCCACCACACGTGGCCAAGTTTTGATTTCTTATAAAGGAGAAATGCTGAAGAGGAAAGCCTTCTTTCTGGTGCCACTCCTTTGTCTTAATGGCAGAGATGTGATGCCTGGAGCTTAGTCAGACATCATTGAACAAGAGGCAAGCATGAGAATAACAAGAGAAAATACTGAAGACGGTGGAAGTGTAATAGAGAAAACTGGGATGCTGGTGACCTCACAGGGCAGCAGCCCACCTCTGGACTACTCATCATGTGAGAAAGATAGGCCCCTCGTCATTTAAATGACTGTCAACTGGATTTTCTGCTACCAAAAGCCGGGTGTGGTGGCCCACGCCTGTAATCCCAGCATTTTGGGAGTCTGAAGCAGGAGGATCACTTGGGGTCAGGAGTTTGAGACCAGCCTGGCCAACATAGTGAAACCCTGTCTCTACTAAAAATATAAAAATTAGCCGGGCGTGGTGGCCCGTGCCTATAATCCCAGCTACTTGGG
The DNA here is from genome assembly GCF_000001405.40 of Homo sapiens. Taxonomy (NCBI): domain Eukaryota; kingdom Metazoa; phylum Chordata; class Mammalia; order Primates; family Hominidae; genus Homo; species Homo sapiens. The sequence continues at coordinate 114,756,451 of NC_000012.12, read as the reverse complement.
AGGCTGAGGCATGAGAATTGCTTGAACTCGGGAGGTGGAGGTTGCAGTGAGCAGAGATTGTGCCACTGCACTCCAGCCTGGGTGACAGAGCGAGACTCTGTCTCAAAAAAAACAATAACAAAAACAAAAACCTTCTGAGCGTATTTGAATTTCCATCTTGCTAAACAGAGTTGTGGGTGGGGTGGAGCACCTTTGTTGGATAGGCTGTGGGTAGGAAGCAAATGTCATCTGATAAAAGTGTTGGCAACTAAGCTGAGAGGTGTTTGTGAACAACTGGAAATAAGCTACCTATACAACTGCAGGGGGCGGGTATTAGCTAAAGCCTGGTGTGTCATAAAATTTCAATTCAATTTAATTTTATTTTTTTTGAGGCAGGGTCTCACTTTGTGCCTAGGCTGCAGTGCAGTGGCACGATCGTGGCTCACTGCAGCCTTGACCTCCTGGGCTCAAGGGATCTTCCTGCCTCGGCCTCCCAAGTAGCTGGAACTACAGGAGCACACCACCACACCCAGCTAACTTTTAAATTCTTTATAGAGACGAAGCTTGACCATGTTGTCCAGGCTGGTCTTGAATTCCTGGGCTCAAGCAATTTACCCACTTTGGCCTCCCAAATTAATTGCTGGGCCTATAGGCATGAGCCACTGAGCCTGGCCCATGATGCCTCCTGACAGTGGAACACAACTGAGCTCCTGGTGTAGAGACAGATTTATTGGCATGGAGAAGCACATTCTATATTGCTAAGCTTTGTAAAAGCAGGTTAGCAAACAATCTGAAAAGAGAGATCTAGAAAGGTGTTCACTGGGGCTGGGTGCGGTGGCTCATGCCTGTAATCCCTACACTTTGGGAGGCCGAGGCTGGCAGAGCACGAGGTCAGGAGATCGAGACCACCCTGACTAACATGGTGAAACCTCATCTCTACTAAAAATACAAAAAATTGGCCGGGCGTGATGACAGGTGCCTGTAGTCCCAGCTACTCGGGAGGCTGATCCAGGAGAATGGCGTGAACCCGGGAGGTGGAGCTTGCAGTGAGCCAAGATTGCGCCACTGCACTCCAGCCTGGGCAGCAGAGCGAGACTCCGTCTCAAAAAAAAAAAAAAAAAAAAAAGGTGTTCACTAGGAGGTCAATAGTGGGTACAATTTGGGTTTTTATTGTTCTTGTTATTTCTGTATTATTTAAATATATTAGAGGCTGGGCGTGGTGGCCCATGCCTGTAATCCCAGCACTTTGGGAGTCCAAGGTGGGTGGATCACTTGAGGTCAGGAGTTCGAGACCAGTCTGGCCAACATGGCGAAACCTTGTCTCAACCAAAAATACAAAAATAAATGGAGCATGGTGGCATGCACCTGTTAAGTCCCAGCTACTCAGGAGGCTGATGCAGGAGAATCACTTGAACTTGGGAGGCAGAGGTTGCAGTGAGCTGAGATCACACCACTGCACTCTAGCCTAGACAAGAGTGAGAGACTCCATCTCAAAATATACATATAAATAGATAGATAAATATACTATGTGTAGAATATATTATAATATTATATATGTATATGTATATGATTTACCTGATAAATAGAACCATTGACAGTATATGTGATATGTGCCTGGTACAGTGGCTCATACTTGTAATCCCAGCACTTTGGGAGGTTGAGGTGGGAGGATCTCTTGGGCTCAAGAGTTCAAGACCAGCCTGGGCAACAGTGAGCAAGACCCCATCTCTACCAAAAAAAAAAAAAAATTAATTAGCCAGGCATGGATATGCACACCTGTAGTCCCATAGTGGTGCACACCTGTAGTCAGGAGGCCAAGGTGGGAAGATCACTTGCGCCCAGGAGCTCAAGGTTACAGTGAGGTATGATCACACCACTGCACTCCAGCCTGGGTGACAGAGTGAGATCCCATCTAAAAGAACAAAAAAGCAAGCTGGACTTCGCGGCTCACACCTGTAATCCCAGCACTTTGGAAGGCCAAAGTGGGTGGATCGCTTGAGCCCAGGATTTCGAGACCAGCCTGGGCAACATAGTCAGCTCTTGTCTCCTTAATAAATAAATAAGTAAATAAATGCAAAAAAGTATATGCGATACAATCTTATTTTCATTTAAAATGCATATACCATACACAGAAGAAGACTAGAAAGATATATGGTAAACTATGAATGGTTAGCCCTATGTAATGGGATTACAGGTGATTTTCATTTTCTTCTTTTTCCTTATCTGCCTTTTCTACTTCTCCTATAATGAATATATATTACTTGTTTAATTTTTCAAGTGTTGTTGTTTAAGAGCTGCTCCTCTTATTATGTTTGCCAAAGCCTCAGAGCCTCCATTGGGAAATACGTTAATCCAGTCAAGATCTTCTTGTCCTGGAAACAAACTCCAGGGCTGGTCTACTGTGATTTTAAGTATCTAGGAGGATATGAAATTAGGGGAGGGTGGGAGTCCCCCATTTTCTGGTCATTGTCAATTTTATAAAGATGGCAGCCTAAGGAACTCCCTAAACTACTTGATCCAGCCAGTTGGTGTTGCCTTTAAACTTCAAAGCCAAAGAGGGGGTGATAAGTGGGAAATCCCACTTTCTGATACCAGTGATAAGAAATTCTCCTGCTCTTCTCCTTCCAGATAAATAACGCTGACCCACCACCCTCCATGCAGCCCCTCTTGGAAGAAGAGTCATAAAAATATGGCAGGCAAAAGCATCTGTAAAAGGATGACAGGATGACATAATGCCAGGAAAATTTACAATCGATTTAGCAGACAGAGGTGGCTGTCAGTCTGGGGGCTCTCCAGAGTTCAAGCATGCCCATAAAAGAACTCAACAACCCAAAGACTCTACTGCGAGGAAGAGATCTCCCTGCAAATCCACCTGTCACTGGTGAGCAGAAATTCCCTGAGGGAGCGGGAACTGGTGTATCTGTGTCTGGAACAGCCAAGGATGGAAAGAGGAAGACCCCTGGAGTGGACAAAGGGGACTTCTCCAGTGATTTAGGGCTCTGGATCTCCCCCCAGCAAAAGTCCTTCTGGTGCCCTAGGGGTCTTGAAAAAGTCGGCCCACAGAGGGACAACCATGGAAAACGAAACTCGAGGGGCTTGGGGTGGGAGGGAGTGTCGAGGCCCAGTTGCTGCTGTCTGGTAGAGCTAACACACAGGCCCCAAACATGCGTGACCTCTGGTTCACATCAGCACTGCTGATCAAAAGCAAGCAGCTCACTCCACCTGGCCCAGGCCTCCCCATCCAGGGAGGATTCAAAGCTACTGGCTTCATGGCTGGTGTGGCTTCCATTAACCCAGAGGTTGGTGTTGCGGACTTCGAGAAAAGTTGAACATCAAACGTAATGAATCATGAGAAACCAATAGCTTGGGCCAGCCCAGTGACCTTTTAAAGAAAGATAATATTACTTAAAACGAACATAGCCGTGGAATCATTAAGATAAACAGTATCGGTTCGAACTCACTTCAATTTCAACTGCAGACAGCTGTCTGGGAAGACTTGTAGGTGCCGTTTTCCTCACCGTGGTTTGTCTAGCCCCTATCTTGCTAAGTCGAGCGCGTGTCTTTCGCTGGCCCCTAGATAAATAGCAAGGAAGATGCCATGCTGGGGATTAGGAGCACTGCAATTGCTGAAGAGAGTATTTTCCATCGTGAGATCTTTGTATGTCCAAAGAATTTCCGGCATCAAAACCAATGAACTGCTCATCTTGCTTTCCTGCCCACTGTTAGGTACACAAATAAGTATCAATAGCCCTGCCCCAGCATCCCCTGGGGTTCTAAAATATCACAGACAACCCAAAGGATAGTGTGTGTGTGAGTGTGAGTATGTGAGTGTGTGTGTGCGTGTGTGTGCATGCTCATGCTCACGTGCCATCCTTGTATTTTTATATATACATGCTTTCTGCATTGTCCAAACATTTGCATACAAGTAGACATGGGGTATTTTGTGATGCAGACAGAATCCTCACTTCAAGAAATCAGATCAGTTTCAGGCAATTCCCGGGTTCAGCGAGAGGCCAGTCTACCCAGAAACGTAAACCAGTTCCAGCCAGGGTGAGGTGAATGCTCACTAGACAGACGTATTGGCCCCACATAGGTTCAGCTCAAACGCACACACTGAAGTACACGCACACACACACACATGCACGCATGCATGCACACACTAATTTTGTGCTTAGCTGTCATAAAACTTAAGACACTTATATGAGGGTGAAAGGTCAGGAGGGGGAAGCATTATTTTCTGTTATTAATTACACCTTATCCATTCTACATGTGCTGCACTCGTCTTAGATAAAGTTACAGTTCTATTTTATTAGGAAGCCTCCAGGATCATGTAAAGGGGGATTTTGGATTGAGACAAAGGAAATCGCAGGATGGGGAAAGGGCGGGGGGTCAGGGGTTCATTTGTTCTCCTGCTCAGAAGCCAAGCCAGGCTTCTCCTCTGCCATTTCCAAGACTGAATCTGCACATTCTTGAAATAGCTCATCCTGCAAATGCTAAATGAACCTGGTCCCTAACCAACTCAGTCCTGAGCAGGCTTTGGGAGAAGAGAAGGAAAGGAGAAGGCAGTGAAGGAGAACAAGTGGGGTAAACCACCAGCCAGGCTGCTGCTGAGTTCAAAGACAAAAGTGAGGCCAGCCAAGGGGAAGACTTGAAAGTTCAAGTTCAAATCTGTGTCACCCCTGCCTGCCTTGCAATGGGTAGCTGCCTGCAGGGATTCTTACTGAACTTGGAGCTCCCATGAGGGAGGAATAGGCCTGGGGATGGAGTGCTGGTTGGTTATAGGCAGAGGGAAGCCCTCGTGGTTAGACAGAAAGGACCCTTGAGCCCCATCACCCCTGGCTAACAAGGAGAGAAAACTGTCCATTGTGGGAAACAGGGACCAAGACTCCCCAGACCAAAGAGGTTGCAAAATGGCAGGGTGGAAAGGGGATTGTAAGAGCGTAGAATGCAGCCAGAATAAAACTCCAGGACTAAAAAAAACCTAGATTTGAATCCTAGCACCAACCTTTTCCTTGGTTAAGTCGCTAGCTCTCTCCGAGCCTCAGTTTCCCCAATTTGGAAACAAGGAGAAATAACATCAATAATAGCATGGATAACACTACGGTCACTAACAGCAACAATTACACTAAAACCACTGCAACACACAGCAGTAAGGATAATAAGCCCTTCCTACGGTACTGTAAGATAGCATAATGAGAAGCACATCAGGACCCATAAATCATAGTGCAGATATAATTTATTGTTATTAATATGATCTGCCCTGTCCTTCCCCAGCCCCTCGGGCTGCCAGGAAAGTCTGTGCTCTGTCATCATGCACTTGAAGACAGGTTGTTTTGTCCCTTCCCTCTTCTTGTTTCTAATCACAATGTTCTAATTCTCCGGCTGAGGTTGAATTCAATTCTCAGTCAGAGCTCGATACCATATATCACCCCCTGTCCAGGATAGCGATCTGGCTTCTGTCTTCTAAGCACTCCAGAGCCGCCAAGTGCCGAGCGCTTACTATGTGCCAGGCGCGGGTTCCACTTTCAGCATTAGCAATCACATTTACGGCTCCCAGCAATGCAGCCAGAGACGTATTTGTATAATATCACCCCCATTTCACACAGGAGGAGACTAAGGTTCAGGGAACTGATCTCCTCCCAAGAATGTCTCGCTCCAAACGAGCACGTTCTTCCGCCAAAGTGCACTAACACCATGCCATCGGGTCTTTGGACAACTTGGTAAGGCAGACTCCAGCTTACTCCAATGGTCATGGTATACACAAGGAAACAAACTCAAGCAGGACCCTGCTATCTCTTGAGTTCAATTAAACATTCACCAACCCTCAACTGTGATTTCAAGGAACATGGAAGACGAGGAGGGAGGGAGGGAGCGAGGAGGCCGCCTGCATGAAGTTGGAGCATGTCTATCTGCACATCAGAATGTTTCCTGGGGGTTCCGCCAGGAATTGAGGCCTGTGGGCCCTACTGGCAGTCCTGCCAGTGAATCCAAGGCCCCAGCTCCCTTTGATCCTCTCCACAGTTCATGCCTCCCCTGAGGGAATCCCACCTTGCAGCCCTGATGTCTAACTTGTGATATCCCAGTAGTGTCCCTAAGAGCACCAGGCTAGCCGGGGGACTTTGAGGTCTGGTGACACTGAGAGGGACTCGATGTTCTGGGAGAGAAAAGACAGCCAGCTTCCTAGGGATAGAGCACCTCCATGTGCCAGATATTACCTTGCAAGTCCCCTCGCTGCTCATTCACTTGTTCCCTATATTTTTTTCTTTTTCTTTTTGAAACAGGGTCTCGCTCTGTCACCCAGGCTGGAGTGCAGTGGTGCGATCACGGCTCACTACAGCCTGGACCTCCCGGATGCTCAAGTGATCCTTCCACCTCAACTTCCAAGTAGCTAGAACTACAGGCATATGCCACCATGCCCAGCTAAGTTTTTGTAGAGATGGGATCTCACTATGCTGCCCAGGCTGGTCTCGAGCTCCTGGACTCAAGTGATCCGCCTACCTCAGCCTCCCAAAGTGCCGGGATTCCCGGCATGAGCCACGGTCTCTATTTCTCCTTATGTAGCTGAGTTTTCATGTTTCTGTTTTGCAGGTGTTGTCTGTATTTCTGACCCTCTCCTTGGCTCTGTTCTTCTGTAGAAAAGAGAATTTGTGGGTAATTCTCTCTGTCTCGCTCCCTTTTCTTTTTTCTTCTGCTGCTTCTTTCATGCTCTCAGACTTTTAAACTTTTAACCTCTATCTCTTCCCTCTCCGTCTCTCTCTTTCTCTCTCTCTCTCTGCCTGACTCTTTCATTCTTTGTCTATTTCTCCTCTGTCTGTCTCTGTCTCTCCCTCTCCTTACATGGCCTCTACCCCATCTCTGCCTATTTCCCCATATGTGGCCTGCCTGTCCATCCTCTGTCTGCCAGAGCACCGGGAAAGCCCAGTCATTCCACAGAACAATTAGCAGCAGCCACCAGGGAAACATGGTTCATGGTGATGAGATTCACCGCAGTCCAAAGCCCATCCAGGGCACACAGGGTTTGGACAAACCTGTCTAATACCTTCCTCACCTTCTGTCCATCACCGAAAACAAGCCTGTGTTCACAGAGGATCAGGGTCATTTCAAATAACTGAACATGTTATTAGGAGACAAAACACTGCTGACAAGGATTCCTGGGAGGTTTTTGCTATGTGGGGGGTCAACGGCCTCCATTCTCCCTGAAAGGCTTCCAGACATGCTCATCAATTTCCAATTTACTATTTAGTCCAACATTGCTGGGGGCTTCCAGGCCCACACTAGGAGGCTGGCTCTACATTTTCATGTTTTCCAGCCAAAAATGTCCCTTTGGCTAAACCTCGGAGCTCATCTACATTTTGAAACATTGTGAACCAAACCAATCCACACATATGAAGGGCCAGGGTGTCTTTGGCACAGCACCACCCCTCACCCCAACATACAGACATTTATTAGGCAAGTGTCTGCCAAGAACCCAGCATTTGCTGAGCCATTTGACTAAAATTCCTCCTTTTTAAATATTATTTGTAGAGATGGGGTCTCCCTGTGTTGCCCAGGCTGGTCTCTAACTCCTCCTGGGTCTAAGTGATCCTCTCACCTCGGCCTCTCAAAGTGCTGGGATTTAAATTCCTTATTTTAGTTTTAACTTCTCAGTGGAAGTGAATAGTATTAATTTTCTTATTGTAGACCGAAGGCTGAGATTCAGGTTAAACACAGTGACTTTTCCAAGGTCACTCACCCAGTGTGATAGCAGCCCTGCTGAACTGCTCTCTTTAACAGGCAAGAGAGAAACAGAGTAAGAAATGAGCCTGGGCCAGGCACAGCTGTGCACACCTGTAATCTCAGCACTTTGGGAGGCCTGGCCTGGGGGATCACTTGATCCCAGGAGTTGGAAAACAGCCTGGACAACACAACGAAACCCCGTCTCTACAAAAAATAAAAAATTAGCTGGGCATGGTGGTGCCCACCTGTAGTCCCAGCTACTCAGGAGGCTGAGATGGGAGGATCACTTGAGCTCAGGAAGTTGAGGCTACAGTGAGCTGTGATTGCACCACTGTCCTCCAGCCTGGGTAACAGTGCATGACCCTGTCTCAAAAAAAAAAAAAAAAAAAAGCCACACATGGTTGCTCATGCCTATAATCCTAGGACTTTGGGAGGTCGAGGCGGGTGGATCATCTGAGGTCAGTAGTTCGAGAAGAGCCTGGCCAACATGGTGAAACCCCATCTCTACTAAAAATACAAAAATTAGCTGGGCATGGTGGTACTCACCTGTAATCCCAGCTACTTGGGAGGCTGAGGCAGGAGAATCGCTTGAACCCGGGAGGCAGAGGTTGCAGTGACCGTGATCACACCATTGCACTCCAGACTGGGCGACAGAGTGAGACTGTCTCAAAAACAAAACAAAAACAAAAGTGAGAAAAGAAATGAGCCTGAGCTTTGATTATTGTTTCATGCTGATCCTCGTCTCACTGATTTTCTTTCTCCTCTCACCGATTTGCATTAGAACTGGGTTTTGTTTCTGCATTTTTGTCACTAAGCTTCCAGCACCCATCCCCGTGCAGAAACAGAATTTCTCCTCTCTAGAAAACAGCTTTTTTGGCTAGAGAAACGCTATTTTCTCCTCCATGTAGGGGCAGGAGGCATTCCGAATAGTTAGCTTTTGGAAGGCAAATTTGGCATCCGGGATTGTTTTCTGCCTTATTAAACTTTTCAGAAACTGTATCTCTTTTAAACAGCCTAAGGGGGCTCTCCCCGCATCCAGTTCCCCCTCCAAAGGACCCTCTCTATCAGCCCACACGTTCCCTCATCCCATCTGTCAGAGGCCGGAGCCAAAACATGTCCCAGGAAAGCCGGAGGAAGGGGCGAGGCAGGGAGAGAGATGTCTAATTATCATCACAGAACCTTTGAAAAGTATCTTGAGCAAATCGAGTTTGTCTAAAACGCATCCAGCGTTTAACATTTAATAGGAGCTGATCAACTTAATGCACCACATGCGATGGGTAAACGGATCCTTCCCCTTTAAGGGCCTGTTGACGTGAGGTGAAGGAGAAAAACAGTTGTTATGATTCAGAAACTCAGGATGAACCCAATTAATCAATGCTGGGATGATTTGAATCATGTGGCCAATGCTTGGTCACCTCTCTGATATCCTATCCTCAGCCCTCGGAAGATGCAGACGTGATTAATGTCACCTGTGACCACCATGTCTCCAGGCAAGACCCCCCCAAACCCGGCAGACAGAGAAACAAATTAGATCCAAAGGTACAGGATCAGTTTCAGAGGGGACAGGCCCCCAGCTGGGGAGGGGGGTGGTCTCTGGGGGTGCCTGGCCTGGCCCGTCAGTCACAGGCGGGCAGGAGATAGAGGCCAGACCATGTGGGGGCTGGGAGAGAAGGAAGGCTTAGAGATGGGGTGCTGGTAGTAAGGGCATACGACAGGCTCAAACCTCAAAGCTCAAAGTGCTCGGCTGGGGCCCTGAGCACGCCTGCATCTTTGAGGGTTTTTTTTTTTTTTTTTTTTTTTGGTATAAAAATAATTGCTCAAGCTTTTCCTCCCTCTTAGGGTTACAGTCAGTCGTGTCTGCCCTGGGCCTTGGCTGGGAGGAAATGAGTTTGAGAGAGAGAGGGTGGGTGAGTGTTAATCAGAGTTATTTTGATTGCTTTGAAAGTCTGTGCCTGTTATACATACATACACACACACACACACACACACAAATGTTTTTATCCCTACTCCAAATAGCTTCTCAAGTTCATGAATTACACAATGGGGCCTCCTCCTCTTTTTTAAATCTTCTGATTCATTCTTTTTTGTTCCTTCCTCTTTTTTGTATCTTTTATCTCCCCCTCCTCTCCTACCAACCTTCTTTCATTCATTCAACCAACATTTCTAGGAGTGCTGCAGGCACCTCCGGGGGACTTCCTGGGAAAGGAAGATAAGATTCTGGGAAAGATAAGCAGCCTAAGATAGCAAAGATTCCCATTTCCTCATTTTTCTCACCTACTTCCCAAGTCTGTGATGCCGCTTAAGTCTAAATGTCTAAAATCCTGTTTTGCAATTCCCCCGCCTCAAAGCCTTTGCTAGCCCTGCCTCCACCTGGAGCATCAACCCCGCATCCTTGGGGATAATGGACTTTTCCATCAAGGCTAGCCCCAGATGCTTCCCCATAACATCATCCTGTACCATCCAGCTATTATCAAGCTCTACCTCCTCTCAAGTCACTGGAAGTACATGCCAAGACTTTCAGAGCCTTATTTACATTGTCAGTGCTGTATCCTCAGCACCCAGCCCCTAGCATGGTGCCTGGCACATGGTGTGTGCTATAAGTATCTGTTGAATAACTGAATGAAGAGTGCTATAGAAAATTTCAGCTTGACATCATCCTGTTGACTTTTTTCTATTTTCTTTTCTTTTTTTTTTTTTTTTTTTTTTTTTTTTTGAGACAAAGTCTCACTCTGTCATCTAGGCTGGAGTGCAGTGACGTGGTCTCAGTTCACTGCAACCTCCACCTCCCAGGTTCAAGTGATTCTCATGCCTCAGCCTCCCTAGTAGCTGGGATTACCAGCACCTGCCACCACGCCCAGCTAATTGTTGTATTTTTAGTAGAGACGGGTTTTCACCATGTTGTCCAGGTTGGTCTCAAACTCCTAACCTCAAGTGATCCACCTGCCTCGGCCTCCCAAAATGCTGGGATTATAGACACGAGCTACCATGCCTGGCCCCATCCTATTGACTTTACAAATGTCCTCATTAAAAAATAATAATAAATACACCTTGTCTTTTTCCAGAAAGATTTTAAGATTATTTGCACTGCAGATTCCTAGACCAGGAGAAGTTGGATTCTATAGGTCAGGAGTGTGGCCCTGGAATCTGGGCCAGAGGGCTCTGATGCATGCACTCTTCAGAGAACTGAGGAACTCTACTGGGGACAATAGAGAACCACTGAAGGTTTGAGAGTAAGAGCATGACGCTTTCAGTTATGTGCTTAAAGAAGGGCATGCCGGCTGCAGTCTAGGAGCTTCAGTAGAGGAACCAGGGGTGGGTGGGAGAGAAGGGTTAGGAGACCACATGAGGAATAAGGATAGAAGTTCCAGAACTTTCTTGTGAGCTCCGAGGCAGAATCTTATTAAAAGAGGGTTTAGGAGACTTTGCATGGTTTACTTAGGGTATTTTAGGAGAACCAGTGGGGACTTCAGAGAGGCTAAAACCATCCCTTCCTAGGCTTTATCTCTACATGGAAGCAAGTGCCATGAAAATGGAGAAATTGGCAAATCACAAAGTTGAACTATGTGTGGGGAAGGAGTAAGTGAAAGAGAGAAAGGAAAGTTACGCCCCTTCTCTACTTTTATTTCTTCCTGTCTCCATTTCTGAAAGCCCCTCGGCGACCCCCAACGCTCCAATTCCAGCAGCACCCGCACCCCCAAACCTGCAGAGTCTGCAGAGACCAGACTCAGCTTCTCCCCTCCCCGGGTGCTCACAAGAGCATCTGGCCACGGACCCTGAGCTCTGGCCACGGCATCTGTTTGCAATGTTTGACTCGGTAGTTTTATTTCTGCTTGGCGGTATAATATAAACTATCTTGTTACACGGCAGGCAGGCTGGGCGCAGAGCCGGGACGCTCTGCAACTCTGCTGCAGAACCAAAAGTGAAGCGTAAATGAGCTGGTGGGCTTGGATGAGGCCTCCTTTGCAGTCAGAGGAAACGGCGGCTCTCCTTGAAAGTTCTCCCTGGCTTGGGCCTCTGCTGTTTCAATCCCAGTGTAGCCTCTGGCCGACCCCTGGAATCTATACCACCTACAACACCCATGAATATGCACACACACAAATAAACACACACACACCCCACCACATCTTGTCCATTTCTGGGGCCTACAGAGCTAGATGAGAAACCCTGGCTACAAGGGCGAATGTCAGTTAAAAGCTTGACTTCTGAAGTGAGCCTGTCTGCCTGTGAATTTTTGCCATATGAGCTTGGGCAAATGCCCTCCCCTCCCTGGGTCTCAGTTTCTTCATCTGTAAAATGGGCTTCACGATAATTACTCCTAAGTTACAGAGCTGTTCTGAGCCTTTTATGAGGCCGTATTTGCGAAGTGCTAAGAATAGTGCCCTGTGCGTGGTGTGCATTCAATAAATGTTGGCCATTGTTACAAACATTAGGATGTTTGAAATGAAATTCAAGAAAGACCAGCTCGCATTGGGAGCAGCAACTGGGTGTCACCATTACACTCACCCCAGCATGAAGGAAATTCACATCCTCTCAGGATGCCGGGGCAAGAACAAAAGGAAATCACACACCTTTCCCCTTTTCCCACAGGATCCCCTTTGGGGTGGGGGGCCAGTCCTCTATTTGGAAGTAGGAGACAGGTAGGCTCCCATGCCTGACTCCCCAAAGAAACAGATATTGGAGGGGAGTTATGCTGAGATTTTTTTATTTTTTGCAGAGATGGGATCTCACTACGTTGCCCAGGCTGGTCTCTAACTCCTGGGCTCAAGCAATCCACCCACCTCTGCCTCCCAGGTAGCTGGGATTACAGGCATGAGCCACCACACCCAGCCAGTTCTGAGGGTTGATGGAGGGCCAGGAATCCCCTCCCCAGCTTCCTGATTTCTCATGTCAATGGAGGAAATTCAGGTGAAGAAAGGACAGAATCTACACTCTGGGAGGCCCTGAACTTATCCCAAGCTCAGCTGCCCTTGGGTGGATGTTCTTGTTCCTGACTGTGGTGGGAGGACACACTTCTGCCCTACCACAGACCCTGTCTTTGGGCATTCCCAATGACAAAGGGGCAGTCCTTATGCCCTGGATCCAGAGGGACAGTCCTTGTGCCCAGCACCCCAGCAGCCTCCCTCTGGGAGACTGAGAGACAGCCTTCCCTTTTCTGTGTTTTTCTCTGCCTTTAATGCTCAGCCTAGAACTTGGAATATGTTAGGTGCTCAGCAAAAATGTGTGCTCACAGGAGCATGCTGCAGCAATTAAAGTGTGTATGTGTGTGTGTGTGTTGGACCTTCATGAGTGTGTGCACACATATTCGATGAGGATGCTTGTATCTTGGGGAGGTCCTATGACCCTGTGATACACGTGTGTGCATACACTCATGTCCCTACCGCTGGACATGGACTCTGTGTGCCCAATGAGTGTCTGCTTGAGGCCCTGCCTAGCCACAGACAGCCTTGGAGAGCCCACGCTCAGATGGCCACTCCAGACCTGGCAAGATGAAAATTTTAAATTGGAGATAGGGTGTTCTGGGGTGGAAGTAGGGTTATTGAAAACCGCTTAGGCTGGGTCCAGTGGCTCAAGCCATCTCAAATCTGTAAACTCAGCACATTGGGAAGACTCAATGGGAGTTCAAGGAGTTCAAGGTCAGACTGGACAACATAGCAAGACTCTATCTCTACAAAAAATAAAATAAAAATAAATTATTTTATTTATAAAAATGAAGAAAGTAGTGGCCCTCACTACTCAAGAGGCTGAGGCAGGAGTCTTGTTTGAGCTCAGGAGTTGGAGACTGCAGTGAACCATGATCACACCACTGCACTACAGCCTGGGTGACAGAGCAAGGCCCTGTCTCTAAAACAAAACCAAATGAAATTAATTTACATTGATTTGGTTTTCTGTCCACTGCTGGCCACAAATCACATTGACTAGTTCTCCCATTTCACTCTATCTCTGCTGTCTGTACCTCTGTGTGTGTGTGTGTGTGTGTGTGTGCACGCGTGCATGCACGCGCATGCCTGAGTACCCTGTCTCTATCTTTCTGCCTCCAGACCTGCCTCCATCTCTCTTTTCTGTGTTTATCTGGATCCCGCTCTCTTTTCTGCATGAGTTTGACTCTGAGTCTCCTTGCTCTCCTCCCTGCCCCATCTGTGTGGGTCCGGCAGCGTGCCCCTCCCTGCTGGCCTGTGAATCGTCACTCAGTGGCCCTGCCTGATCCAATGCAGGCCCCTTTGTTCACAGCCTACCGCCGCAAGCACTCCTCCACCCCTGCATCACCCTCCAGACCCTGCTTTCCTTTGCTCCTTCCCAAGTGGCCACCTCTCCAGCCCCTAATGTGAACAAAATGCCTGCCCGCCCTAACCAGGACAGCACTCAGGCATGGAGAGGTGGGAGGCAAGAGTCAGAGCTTGGCCACCAGCCACATGACCCCTGGGGCCATTAAGGAGACACCCCATCACCATTCCCTCTGCCCCACAATTCCTCCCCACTGCAGCTCAAAGCACCCCCAGGCAGCCCGCAGCACCTGGCAAGGGCAAGTTCGCGTTGAGGTTGGAGGCCAAATGCCTTCCCTGACTCTGGGTGGCCTTGGCCAAGTCAGTGTCCCTCTCTGAGTCTGTAACATAATGCCCAAGGCTCCACCTGACTCTAACTGGAGGGACACCGCAGTGCACCCCATGCCTCCCAGTGCCTGGTGGCATCCTTTACTCCTCCCATTTCCTGGAGCAGATGCAGAAAGCCTAAAATTTCTGTAGTGAAAAGGTCAGCTCCCCCACAGAGTCTCAAGGAATGGGAATCTCAGGATAAATCAACCCCAAAGCATCCATCAGCACATTTCTGCAGATATTGTTCACAGCTTAAATAATACCAATAATTGCAGAAACAATGGACTTCCTGGGACTCTGGCTTCGGGTGTCTGTGGTCATGTCAAGGACAGTCCAGCTTAATGCCCAATTTAGGGCTGGGAGGAAAGGGAGATGGGAGTTTTCGGGGTTTTTTTTTTGTTGTTTGTTTGTTTGTTTTGAGACGGAGTCTTGCTCTGTCACCCAGGGTGAAGTGCAGTGGGGCAATCTCAGCTCATTACAACTCTGCCTCTGGGTGCAAGAGATTCTCCTGCCTCAGCCTCCCGAGTAGCTGGGATTACAGGCGTGCGCCACCTCACCTGGCTAATTTTGTGTGTGTGTGTGTGTGTGTGTGTGTGTGTGTGTGTATTTTTAGTAGAGATGGGGTTTCACCATGTTGGCCAGGCTGGTCTCGTACTCCTGACCTCCAGTGATCCACCCACCTCAGCCTCCCAAAATGCTGGGATTACAGGCATGAACCACCCCACCCACCCAGGAGTTTTCTTCTCTCTGTCACATTGCCTCTGCATGTCCCTTTCCTTTCCCCTCTGCCTAGCTCCGATCATCTGTGTAAGTCTTTCCCTGTCTTGGGCCACTTACTAGCTGTGAATCTTAGGCAAGTGTTTTCACCTCTCTGAATCTCAGATGTTATACTATTAATTATAATACACCTGGCTCACATTAGGGACTAGACAAAGTACAGCGCTTAAATAATAACAATAATAATAATGAGGTGGAGGAAGGTGGGCTGGGTGAGGGTCTGCCGTGGACTATGTCTATGTGGGCCTAACATCAGTTTATATGCACCTAAGCTGCTGTGGTTGGGTATATATGCAGGCATTAACATGCAAAGCTTTTGGGCTTGGAGACCCTGAGCCGACACCCACCTTGAGTTCCACACCCCCAAGAAAAAGGAGGCCCCACACAAATCCCAGTGATGGGGAGACAATCTACTTCTCTTGTGGAAGCACATGTAGCCTATCCCTGGGCCGGGATCAAGAGGCCCTTTGGGTGCCTGACAAAGAAAGGGTGCTTCTTCAAAGATACAGTGAACCTCCAACTGCCATCACCCTCCAGAAGCCTGGGAGCCTCGATTTCATAGAACTTCAGGATTGAGGGACCGGTTGTGGTTGGCTCTGCTTCCTGGCTGTGGCCTCATGAGCGTCCCCGAGCATTATCACCACCAAGTGCCCGAGCAATTAAATAATCTGTACCACCATGATTTTGCATGATTTGCATGCTCCGTGTACCACCGTGATTTTGCAGAAACTGAGGCCCAAGGAGATTGAATGACTTGCATAAAGTCATAATAAGTTGAGGACAGAAGGGAAACACAGTTCTGTCTCAGGCCATACCCTTTCTTCTTCACTCAGAGCTGAGGGAAGTACCCTGGCCTGGGGTGGGGGCATGGGCAGTTATTCTCAGATCACTTGGATTCCATTTTTTTTTTTTTTTTTTTTTGAGACAGAGTCTCATCCTATTGCCCAGGCTGGAGTGCAATGCCGCAATCTTGGCTCACTGCAACCTCCGCCTCCCAGGTTCAAGCAATTCTCCTGCCTCAGCCTCCTGAGTAGCTGGGATTACAGGCATGTGCCACCACACCCAGCTAATTTTTTTTTTTTTTTTGTATATTTAGTAGAAGCAAGGCTTCACCATGTTGGCCAGGCTGGTCTCAAACTCCTGACCTCTTGACCCACCCACCTAGGCCTCCCAAAGTGTTGGGATTACAGGCGTGAGCCACCTTGCTGGCCTTTTTTTTTTTTTGAGACAGAGTCTCTCTCTGTTGCCCAGGCTGGAGTGCAATGGTGTGATCTCGGCTCACTGCAACCTCTGCCTCCCAGGTTCAAGTGATTCTCCTGCCTCAGCCTCCTGAGTAGCTGGGACTACAGGCGTGCACCACCACACTCAGCTAATTTTAGTATAGATGAGGTTTCACCATGTGATACACACACGTGTATCACCAGCCAGGCTGGTCTCAAACTCCTGACCTCAAGAAATCTGCCTGCCTTGGCCTCCCAAAGTGCTGAGATTACACTGGATTCCCTCTTGACTTAATGTAAGACCTTAGGTCATACTCCACCCCTCACCAGGCCTCAGTTTTCCCATCTAGAGGGTAGCTGGACCTACCATTCTGAGATCCTCTCATTCTGTTTTGCAACTTGCATCACAGAAAGTGAGAACCCACTTCCGCCAGAATGTGCCAAATTCACATGAAGTTAGTGCCTGCTGTAGGCCTCCTTCCTACTAGGGCAGGCAGCCCAGCCGTGCGACTGAACTAATGACTTAACCTCTCTGAGCCCCTTAAAGGAAACGATTGAAAGTCCTTACCTACAGAGCTGTTAACATAAGGGCTTAGCTTATAGTAAATGCTCAATAAATGCTGCTGTTTTTAAAACAGAGTCTCATTCTGCTACCCAGGCTGGAGTGCAGTGGCACAATCTTGGCTCATTGCAACCTCCGCCTCCTGGGTTCAAACAATTCTTGTGCCTCAACTTCTCGAGTACCTGGAATTTCAGGCATGTGCCACCATGCCCAGCTAATTTTTGTATTTTTAATAGAGACGGGGTTTTGCCATGTTGGCCAGGCTGGTCTCCAACTCCTGGCCTCAAGCAATCTGCCCACCTCGGCCTCCCGAAGTGCTGGGATTACAGGCATGAGCCACTGAGCCTGGTGTTATTATTTTTATTTTTATTTGCATCACCTGATTTCTGCCACTGCCCAGCTTTGATTACAAGACCTGCCTCCTCGCCCCCCTAGTCCAGCCTTCATCTCCTCCACTGCCCGTTTTGCCGTTGGACTAAGAGGAGATTGGGTAGGAGATAGATGGTGGACAGCCCTCAGCTTGCCGGCTGGTGCTCCAGCTAACTGCCCAAAGCCAAGGCTATCCACCCCGGAGAGGCCACCTTTGAAGTGACCGCCTTATGTAACTGCCCCATGCCTCCTCCCATCTTCCTGTTTGTCCCCAGAGCGACCTTGGGGAGGAAAACTGCAGCCTAGGACCAGTAAGCCTGGGGTTTCTTTCATGTGACTCAGGAGAGAGCTGGGAAGGGCAGAGGGATGCATATTGGTGGTTAGGGGTGCCTCTGCCTGAGTTTAAGTCCTGCAACCAGCTCTTTCTAGCTGTGTGACCTTGGGCAGGTTACTCAGCTTCTCTGTGCCTCAGTTTTCCTATCTGTCACGTGGAAAGTACCTAATGCATAAAGACATTGTGAGAAATATGTAAGTAGACAGTTTAGAACAGTGCCTGGCACATAATTACATGCTTAATAAAGGGCAGTTGTGGCTGGGCACAGTGACTCATGCCTGTAATCCCAGCACCTTGGGAGGCCAAGGTGGGAGGATCACTTGAGGCCAGGAGTTCAACACTAGCCTGGACAATATAGCGACACCTCATCTCTACTTTTTTATAACAATAAACATTATAAATATATATTAAAAAGGGCAGTTGTTATAGGTACTTAATCTTTTTTTTTTTTGTTTTCATGTTTCTTGTCAATATGTTTTCTCTGACAGGATACAATGACAGGCACCCAGTTTCTCTGGTTTGGTTTTGTTTTGTTTTAAGACAGGGTATCTCTCTGTTGCCCACTCTGGAGTACAGTGGCACAATCACAGCTCACTGAAGCTTTGACCTCCTGAGTTCAAGTAATCCTCCTGTCCCAGCCTCCTGAGTAGCTGGGACTACAGGTACAAACCACCATGCTTGGCTAATTTTTTAAATTTTTTATAGAAGGCCGGGTACACTGGCTCACGCCTGTAATGTCACTTTGGGAGGTCAAGGTGGATGGATCACTGGATGTCAGGAGTTCAGACCAACCTGACCAACATGGTGAAACCCCATCTCTACTAAAAGTACAAAAAATTAGCCAGCGTGGTGGTAGATGCCTGTGATCCCAGCTACTGGGGAGGCTGAGGCAGGAGAATCGCTTGAACCTGGTAGGCGGAGGTTATAATGAGCTGAGATGGCGCTACTGCACTCCAGCCTGAATGACAGAGCAAGACTCCGTCTCAAAGAAAAAAAAAATAGAGACGGGATCTCACTATGTTGCCCAGGCTGGTCTCTAACTCCTGGCCTCAAGTGATCCACTACATCTACCTCCCAAAGTTCTGGGATTACAGGCAAGGGCCACAGTACCTGGCCTCTGAGTTTTAAAAGGCCATTTCCTTTGCCCTACTTGAACAACCAATAAAGACATAAGCCTCAATGGTAAAATGAAAGGGGAGTGGTATTTAATAATCGTACATTAAGCTGTAAGATAATTATTGTTATTCAGAGCACTTGCTCAAAAGTGGACTTAGATCTTAGAAGGGTGGCTGAGAAACTAACCTCATCAGTCAGCCTCAATGTCTCCCACCTGTAAAATGGGGTTAACACCTAGCCACAAAACTGGCTGAAAATTGAAGGAGGCAGTCTGTGGAAAGAACAGAGCTGGACACTTACTGAGTGCTGAAGCTTACTTCAGTTGGATCATTCCCTGTGTGTCTCCACTGTCCTCCTTCCCAAGACTTCTCTTTTTTTTTTTTTTTGAGATGGGAGTCTGGCTCCCTTGCCCAGGTTGAAGTGCAGGGGCACAATTTCGGCTCACTGCAACCTCTGCCTCCTGGGTTCAAGCGATTCTCCTGCCTCAGCCTCCCGAGTAGCTGAGACTACAGGCACATGCCACCACACCCGGCTAATTTTTGTATTTTTAGTACAGAGGGGGTTTTACTATGTTGTCCAGGCTGGTCCCGAACTCCTGACCTCAAGTGATCCTCCCGCCTCTGCCTCCCCAAGTGCCAGGATTACAGGCGTGAGCCACCGCGCCCGGCCCCCTTCCCAAGACTTCTAATGTGGGTTACGGAATGTATACACACACACACACACACACACACACACACGCACACACACGCCCACCATAACCCTTGAGAAGAGCGGTCGTAGGGGCATTTATTCCGGTGTTTCACCTCCCCTCCCGCTTTTCGGCCTCCCAAACAGTCTGAAGGCGGCTGCTGAAAGGCTCCAACCCACCGGAACTCTCGGAGTAACCGCCTCCGCCTCCCCTCGCGGGTGTAGACCGAGACTCGCGCGGACGGGAGGGAGGAAGAATGTTTGCTTAGCCTTCAAACGACTTGGCAGGCAACAAGAGGGAAAAGGCCGCTCTGGGGAGAGTTCAAATTGAAATTACACGGAGGGAAGAACGTGCAGATCAGCGCTGAAGCTCATAAAAAAAAAAAAAGCGAGGTGACTGAGAAGAACAAACACGCCTCCAAAAGGAAAATGGAAAAGTTCTTAAAATGAGCTCTTCAAAGCCTAGCCAGGGGGCGCGGGGGAGGAGGAGGGCAGTGGCCGCCGGGCAAGGCCGCTGCCCCCTGGGCCTATCCGCCTCGGAGTCTGGAAGGGCGAAATTGGCCCAACTTGCATTTCCTCTAACCCGGGAGGTTGAGCGCCCCTAGCCCCCTCCTCCGAAGCGCTTCTCCTGCTGGAAACCAGAGGGAGTAGGAAGAGTGGCCCAGAGTTCGAACCTAAGCAGAGCCGGTGGTGGCGGGGACGACGTTCCCAGCGGGAAGTCGCGGGCAGGGACAAAGCTAAGTCCTGAGAAGTAGGCCGAGGCTAGATCATTCGTTCGTTGGACATCGGGCATCGTTTGGGTTTTATTCAAACCGTTGGAAAACCTTGAAGTTCTAGGCAGGGGAACAGCACCACGTGATTGGATCCTCCAGAGTAGAATCTAGACAGTCCCCCTCCAACCCACTCCCAACTCCCCACAACTCTCCCAGCATCTCCACCTCCTCCCACTTGGAAGAAGGATGAGATCGATGAAGCTCACGCGGTGCGCTCTGCAGACCTCGGCTGGGAAAGCCCAGCGCACCCCTAGGCGCACGGGGAAGCGTCCACCAGAACCGCCTCTGGCTCCCCGGGTCGAAGTCCCCACCCTCAGCCTCCTTGTACAATTCATTAACTTTGCAGACACCCGTTTTATTCGCCGGATCATTCCCGGACGCTTTAGAGAAAAGCCTGGGCATTAACCTCACGGCCCGCGCGCGCTGCCCGACGTCACCCCAAGTGGAGGATTCTCGGAAAAAATCAACCGCGCCAGCTCCCGAATCCCGGCAGCCCCTCGCCCGGGTGTGCCAGAGTCGACTTCTCTCTCTCTCTCGGTCTTAGTGGACCTGAGAGAGAGAAAGAAATTTTCTATAAACCACTGAACTGGGGCAGTGCCGGAAATTGTCCCGACCCGGTACTCTGTAGCTTCCAAGGTGCTTCCAACCCCATTCGCGCCGCAAGGATCCCACAAGATCGGGAAAACCGAGGCTTGGGAAGGGTTGGGTGCCCCAAAGGCAGGCTGCTTGGAAGAAACGGAGCCGACCTGAACCCCGCGTTTGCAGGTTTCAAATCGCGGCGCGTTTTGAGAGGCCTTTCTGACCCCTCAGAATTATTAGTTCGAGCCCCCTGGTCTATCCTGCTCGGAAATTCGGCCTCTGATCGAGGAAGCCCTGTTGGGAAGAGGGCTGGTTATTCCCTTGTCTTCCTTCTCACCGCCCCTACTCCATCCACTCTCTTTCCCCTTCTCCCCTTCTGAGTTTGTTACCATTTCTTGGTCAAAGCCCCACAACATAGATGCAAGGAGATGAAAACCCACAATTTCTCACTCCAGAGCCTGCGCCTGCGTTCACTGCATCAGGGTTCTCGAACCTTAAGGAGCTCACAATCACGTGGGGGCTTTGTTAAAACAGGAATTCTGGGCCCCGCTCCCGGACACCTCATTCAATTGGTCTCAGCTGGGCCTGAGAATGCGCATTTCTAACCGGTTCCCGGGGTATGTTTTGGGAAGGACTGCTCTGTGTGTTGCGTTGATGCCCTCTAGGTTCCTTTGTCAATAACAAAAAACCCTCTTTAGAGGAAAGTACGTCGTTCTTCTCTGTGTGTCCTCAGCACTTACACAAGGCTTGCACACCAGTGCCTAATAAATATTTGGGCTTAATCATGAACGCTTAGAGCTGTCACCGTGGTTTACAGATGTTTAGCGTGCGCCTGGCATTTTTCTGGGCACATTAGGAGTGTCTGTTTAATGCTAGTGACAACGGTGGGAGTTAAGACCCTTATTTTGACATGGATGGCTCACAATGGGGATGCCAGGAACCGGGAGAGGGAAATCGTGCCTGTACCCAGACAGATGGAAGCCAAGGTCTACCCAAGGGACAGAAACCGCTGAGTCCCGCTCCACCAACCTGGGACAAACCAGCTTAAAGGCGCTGTTCAGGAAGACTCAGCTCTCTCCGCTGGTAATGGCTGGGAAATGGCGGAATCACCTTCGTAGAAGACCTGCACCTCCAGAGTCCCTGCGCCATGGAATGTGCGCCCCTCATACCCCTAAACGTCCACCTTGCAGTGCTTTTGCCTGCCGGTCCTTGGTGGGCAAATGGAGAGACCCAGCGCCAAGCTTTCTATATGGGAATCACCCCTCAACCTTTCTGAAGGATCCAGAACCTCTCTCCAGGGCTTGGAGGCCTCGGATTCTGGAGGATTCCACAACTTAGAGTCAAGAGGGATGGCCTCTCGAAACAGTGGGGGTGACCTGGAGGATCTTAGCATTCCAGGCACAATCCTAGCCTCGCCTGGGAGAACTGCCACTCAGATGAGGGTCTTGGGCCTGGTGCTCCAGGAGGAGGGAAGAGGGTGCCCCTGGAGAGACGTGGCGCTCCCATTTTACACCCTCCAGATAGCTCTGGGGCCACGCTCCTGTGCTCCAACTCCATTGAGTCCTGCATGCAGCTCGGTGTTCCCCGGCCACATCGTAAAAAGATTTACAAGACTATGTTAAACTGGCAGTAAAAACAATTAACTTTAATGGCACCTTGGGTGGGTGGCTGGGTGGGTCAGAAGGAGGGAAGGAGGGCGGATGCTTCCTCCTCTTCGGACTGGGAATCCAGGTGAGGGAGGGGACCCGCTTTCAAGTCCCTTTTGGGTTTCTTCTATTTGCTCCTCCAGGGATCCTCCACTGGGCTCTGGAGTTCAGAGGTTCAAGGTTAAAGTGAAAAGAAGGCTGAGCATGGAGACAACAGGAGACTTCAAGTCCCACTTGACAGTTCCTGGCTAAGTGATCCTAAACAAGCCTCTTAACCTCTCTGAGACTCAGTATGCCCATCTATGCAATGAGAATTTGTAACAATAAAATCAAAAAGCCTCCTCTGTCAGGGTTGTGAAGATTGCAAGTGATAGCAATTTGGAAGTACCTCCCACCATGCCTGGCATGTATGTCTGTGTGTTTGTGTGTATGTATATACATAAAGCATTGTGTGTCCTGTGTGTGTGTGTGTATGTATGTGTGTGTATATATATACATATACATATATAAATAAAAATATATTATATATAAATATATAAATAATATATAAATATATTATATATAAATATATAAATAATATATAAATATATTATATATAAATATATAAATAATATATAAATATATTATATATAAATATATAAATAATATATAAATATATAAATACATAATATAAATATATATTATGTATTTATATATTATATTATATATAAATTAAAATATATAATATATATTATATATTATATATTTAAAATATGTATAATATATAATATATATTATATATTTAAAATATGTATAATATATATAATATATATTATATATTTAAAATATGTATAATATATATTATATATTATATATTTAAAATATGTATAATATATAATACATTATATATAAAATATATTTACAAATATAAATATATATTTATACATGTAAATATATATATTTATATATGTAAATATATATTTATATATTTACATGTATAAATATATATATTTATATATATTTACATGTATAAATATATATAAATATATACATATATGTATATATTTAAGCATTTATTAAGATTGTATGTGTCTGTGTGTGTGTTTGTTTCATAAATGTTAGTTTCTGGAGCACTCAGGCTTTCCAGGTGTAAAATGAGGTGAAAAGACCAGGCTTTTGCAAAGGTCAGAGCCAGCTTTCAGAACCCTGACTTAGCCAGCACCACTTAAATGTTGGTTTCCTGCTAAAATTGACCTGCTTGTCCAGCCA